>NC_000004.12:128921381-129224411 GCF_000001405.40 Homo sapiens
CCATGTTAATGAATGAAAAACTATACTACAAGGCCACAGCAACCAAAACAGCATGGTACTGGTAAAAAATAAGACACATAGACCAATGGAACAGAATAGACAGCCCAGAAATAAAGTCACACACCCACAATCATTTGATCTTTGACAAAGTAGACAAAAACAAGTAATGGGGAAAGAACTCCCTATTCAATAAATGGTGCTCAGATAACTGTCCATATGTGGAAGACTGAAGGTGGACCCCTAATATCATATACACAAATCTTCTTAAGGTTGATTAGAAAATTAAATGTAAAACCTAAAACTACAAAAACCCAGAAAGATAACCTAGGGAATACCATCTGGACATAGGCCCTGGCAAAGATTTTATGATGAAGACTCCAAGACCAATTGCAACAAAAATAAAAGTTGACATGTGGGACCTAATTAAACTAAACAGCTTCTGCAGAGCAAAAGAAAATATCAACAGAGTAAATAGACAATCTACAGAATGGGAGAGAATATTAGCAAACTGTGCATGCTATAAAAGTCTAATATCCAGAATCTACAATATAGTTAAACAAATTTATAAGAAAAAAACAAACAACCCCATTATAAAGTGGGCAAAGGACAAGAACAGACACTTTCAAAAGAAAACATACATGCGGCCAACAAGCATATGAAAAAATGCCCAACATCACTGATCATTAGAGAAATGCAAATCAAAACCACAATGAGATACTATCTCACCCACATCAGAATTGATATTATTAAAAAGTCAGAAAAATAACAGATGCTGGCAAGGTTGTGGAGAAAACGGAATGCCTATCCTCTGCTGGTGAAAATGGAAACTAGTTCAGCCACTGTGGAAAGCAGTTAGGAGATTTCTCAAAGAACTTAAAACAGAAGTATACCATTCAACCCAGCATTCCCATTATTAGGTATATGCCCCAAGGAATATAAATTGTTTTTACTACAAAGACGCATGCTTGTGTAGATTCACTGTGGCACTATTCACAAGAGCAAAATCATGAAATCAACTTAAATGCCCATCAATGGTAGACTGGATTAAAAAAATATGGTATATATACCCCAAGGAATACAAAGCAGCCATAAAAAAGAATGAGATTATGTCCTTTGCAGCAACACGGATGGAGTTGGAGGCCACAGTCCTAAGTGAACTAACGCAGGAACAGAAAAACAAATACTGCATGTTCTCACTTACAAGTGAGAGCTAAATATTGAGTATACATGGACACAAAGAAGGAAACAGCAGACACCTACTTGAGGATGGAGGGTGGGAGTAGGGAGATGATCAGAAAACTATCAAGTACTATGCTTATTGTCTGTGTAACAAAATAATAGGTATACCAAACCCTTGTGACATGCAACTTCCCTACACAACAAACCTGCTCATGTACCCATGAACCTAAAATAATAGTTAACAAACCAACCAACCAACCCCTTGAGAATATACAACAGCAAATTGAACATTAAAAAAGATAATTTGTAAAATAACAGATCAGAAGAGACTGTGTGACTGCAGCACAATGAAAAAAGATGAAAAATAAAGAGGGTGAGAGACAAATAAATGCAATATAACAGTTTAAAATACCTTTGATCAGAATCTTAGGAGGACAGGAGACAGTGAATCATGCAAAGGCAATATTTATTTTGGTTTTAAAATCAACCTCATTGGGATATAATTGTGGGAAATAAGGTGCAGCCATTTTGAGTGTAGAGTTTGGTGAGCTCTGACAAAAGCATACACTCATGTAACCACCGCTGCAATTAAGATACAGAATAAGCCACATGCGGTGGCTCATGTCTGTAATCCCAGCACTTTGGGAGGCCGAGGCAGGTGGATCACTTGAGGTCAGGAGTTTGAGACCAGCCTCGCCAATATGGTGAAACCCCGTCTCTACTAAAAATACAAGATTTAGCTGGGCGTGGTGGCACATGCCTGTATCCCAGCTACTTGGGAGGCTGTGGCAGAAGAATCGCTTGAACCCATGAGGCAGAGGTTGCAGTGAACCAAGATCGTGCCACTGCACTCCAGCCTGGGTGACAGAGTGAGACTCCATCTCAAAAAAAAAAAAAAAAAAAAAGATACAGAATAGGTCCATTGCCCTAAAAAGTTCCCTCTTCCCTTTTGTAGTCACTGCCCCACCCCTCAAATCCCAGTCCTAGGCATCCAAACTGTTTTATCATTATAAATTAGAATTGCCTTCTCTAGAATTTCACACATATGGGATCATACAGTATATAGTCTTCTATATCTGTTTTTTTTTCAATCTCCTTTTTGAGATTCATCCATGTTGTTGAGTGTATCAGTGGTTTGTTCCTTTTTATTTCTGAGTGTTTATCCATGCACCTGGTGATGTACATTTGGGTTCTCATTTTCAGCCATTATAAATATCTACAAACATTTGTGTACAGGTTTTTTGTGTCGATATATTTTGGTTTTATTTTTGGAAAGAGTCTTGGTCTGTTGCCCAGGCTGGAGTGCAGTGGCATGATCAGGGTTCACAGCTGCAAACTCCCAGGCTCAGGTGATCCTCCTACCTCAGCTTCCCAAGTATCTGGGACTTTAGGCATGCACTGCCATGCCTGGTTAATTTTATTATTTTTTATTTTGTAGAGACGAGGTCTCACTCTGTTGCCCAGGTTGGTCTATGTGTGGATGTGTTTTCATTTCTCTTGGGTAACATCTGTGAGTAAAACTGCATGTCTGCATGATGAGTATACATTTAACTTTGCAGTAAAATTGTCTATTATTACTGAGTTGTAAGATTAAAAAAAAATCAAGTACTTTGTCAGATATACTAATTGCAATTTTTTTCTCACAGTCTTTTTTCATTTTCTTAATGGTGGCTTTTGAAAAGCAGACATTTTAAAAATTTTATTTATTTTTATTTTTTATTATTTATTTATATTTGAGACAGAGTCTTGCTCTGTGGCACAGGCTGGAGTGCAGTAGCACAATCTTGGCTCACCACCTCCCAGGCTCAAGCAATTCTCGCTCTTCAGCTTCCTGAGTAGCTGGGATTACAAGTGTGGGCCACTATACCTGGCTAATTTTTTGTATTTTTAGTAGAGACGGGGGTTTCATCTTGTTAGCCAGAGTGGTTTTGAACTCCTAGCCTCAAGCTGATCTGCCCACCTTGACCTCTAAAAGTGTTGGGATTACAGGCATGAGCCACTGCCCCTGGCCAGAAGTTTTTAATTTAATATAGTCCACTTTATCAAATTTTTTGTACTTTATTATTGTGTCTTGGAAGAAATTTTTGCTTATCATAAGATTTTCTTTTAGATATTTTATTGTTTTCCTTTTTTATGCTTAGGTCTATGATTCATTTCAGGTTATTTTTGTGTATGGTGTGATGTAATGGCGTGGCACGTAAGCTCTGAAACGAACCTCAATGATCCCTACCTTATGAGGTCCTTATGAAGTCTCACCTATGTGGGCTCTACCCAGGGACTCACTTTTAATTGATAGAATATGGTTAACGTGATATGATGTCACTTTCAAGATTAGCTTAAACAAAGATCTTGACTTTTGTTTTACTTTCTCTCTTTCAACTTCCTTCCCTTTCTCCCTCACTCCTCTCTCCTCACTCTGAGGGAAGCAAGCTACCACATTTTAGACCCATAAAGAGACCAACAAGGCAAGGAACTGATGTCTCCTGCCAATGCCAGTTAAGACCCGAGGCCTGCCAACACCTACAGAGTGAGCTTGGGAGCAGATCCTTTCCTGGTCAAGCTCTGAGATAATGCAGCTTTAGTCAATGCGTTGATTGCAACTTTATGAGAAACCCTGAGTCAGAGGCATTCTGATTCAGACATGTCTAGATTCCTAATCCTCAAAAACTGTGAGAAAATAAATGTTCGCTGTTTTAAGTCACTAAATTTTGGAGCAATTTGTTATGCAGTAGTAGATAACTACACAAAGCGTTTTCATCAAGTTTGGAAAAAATTTGGCCGTTAGTTCTTTTTTTTTTTGGAGCTGGAGTCTCACTCTGTCATCCAGGCTGGAGTGCAGCGGCATGATCTTGGCTCACTGCAACCTCTGCCTCCTGCCTCAGCCTCCCAAGTAGCTGAGATTACAGGCATGTGCCACCACTCCTGGCTAATTTTTGTATTTTTAGCAGAGATGGGGTTTCACCATGTTGGCCAGGCTGGTCTCGAACTCCTGACCTCAAGTGATCCACTTGCCTTGGCCTCCCAAAGTGCTAGGATTACAGGCGTCAGCCACGGTGTCTGGCCCATTATTTCTTAAAACACTCCCACACTCCCATCCCTGCCCTCCTGGGACTACAGTTGTATGTATTTTATACTGCTTGATATTGTCCCTAAAGTCTCTGAGGCTCTCTGTGCATAATTTTTCTTTGGTCTTTTTTTCTCACTATGTTTCATTTTTGGATGGTTTCTTTCGCTCTCTTCAAGTTCTCTGATCTTTTCTTGTGCAGTGTATGATCTGCTGTTAATCCCATTTTGTGAGTTTTAAAATTCTCTAATATTTTTCATCCACAGGTTTCCATTGGTTCCTTTTTTGCATCTTCCACTTCTCTCCTTATCATCTTCATGTGTTCCTTTAAATCACTAAGAATATTTACAATGGCTGGTTTAAAGTTCTCATGTTTTAATAATTTTAATTAATTAATAAAAATTAAAAAAATAATAATTTTATCCCCTCTCATTTCTGGGTGTGTTTTGATGCACTAGTTTTTGTTTTTCTTTTTTTCTGGTTATGGGTACCATTTTCCTGCTTTTGTTTATCTATTTTGTTGGATTTGTTCTGGCAGGTAATTAAGTTACTTGAGGACCAGCTTGTTCATTTTGAAGCTTGTTTTTAGCTTTTTCAAGACAGATTTTCAATTCTTTTTACTCTAGGCTAGTTTAGTTTTAACAATAGGATAAAGTGATCCTGAAATCTTTATTGTATACTCTGGGTGTTCAACAAGGATGTTCCACTCTGGCCGACTGGAACTCTCATGTCTCTTATTACTGCATAAACTCTTGATGTTTTGTCAGTTCACAGCTCCCAAAGATGTTATCTTTAATGTTCTAGAAGAAAACACCTGTCAACTTGGAATTCCATACCCAGCAAAAATATCTTTCAAGAATAAACAAAAAGTAAATATATTTTATGAGCAGCAGTTGAGAATTCACCACCAGTAGATCTTTACCAAAGGAACTTCTGAAAGACATAATTCAGACATAAGGAAAGTAGTCCCAGATGGAATGTATGAGAATAGTATTGTTCATATATATTTATTACTTTATTCTACATTGCTTCTAGTATCTCATTCAGTAATATACAATAAATATATTACTGTTCATATATATTTATTACTTTGTTTTACATTTATTACTGTTCATATATAGTTTGTAACAGTAATATATTTTTTACTAAATGAATAGTAATTAACCTATCAACAATAATATATAAGCTGGGTAAGAGAAATTAATGGTGCTAATATGTTTCAAGGTTCTTGAGTTTTCTGGGAGGAGAATAAAAGCTTTGATTACCTTCAGACTTCCTAAGTATGTGTGGTATAACATGTAGGGTAGTTACCAAAAGAACATGAGTAATTAATTTCCAAATATTGGGGAAAAAAGTAGAATGATTAAAAAAAACCAAATGAATTAAAAAGATGAGAAAGAAAAAAAGGAATAAAGCAAAGATGTCAGAAGTAGAAAGTACTAAATAATACAATAAAAACAAATCCCAATATATTTTGAATTACACTAAATATCAGTGAATGAAATGGCCTGAAACTGAGCTATCTAGTGTTTCTAAATCTATGAAACAGAAACAATTAAGAAAAAAATAACTAAAATGACTGCATATGTTTAAGAACTTTAGAATTTATATGAAAATGTACTTATACATAACATGTAGATTAAAAAAGATAATAAATATTAGAAAATAATTTGAGGCCAATTACTCCTATAATCTCAGCATTTTGGGAGGCCAAGGCAGGAGGATCAGTTTCTTAAGTCCAGGAGTTCAAGACCAGACTGGGCAACATAATGAAACCGTGTCTCTACAAAAAACACAAAACTTAGCCAGCTGTGGTGGTGGACATCTGTGGTCCTAGCTACTTGGGAGGTTGAGGCAGGAAAACTGCTTGAACCTGGGAGGTGGAGGTTGCAGTGAGCCGAGATTGTGCCACTGCATATCAGCCTGTGTGAAAGAGTGAGACCCTGTCTCAGAAAAAAAAAAAGGAAAATAATTTGAACTAAATAATAGTACTATGTATATCAAAACGTATACTAAAGCTAAGACATAGGGAAAAATTTATAACATTGAAGAATGCATGCATTAGGTGAAAATTTGAGCCATGCTTCTATTTCAAGAAGTAAGAAAAAAGAACAGCAACATGAAAGAAAGGAGAGGGGTAACAAAGAGCAGAAAGTAATAAAATTATGTAATAAACACAAAATAGAAAAGATTAAAAATCAAAGGTTATTTATAAAGAGTAAAACAACTGAGAAACTCTGATAAGAGTGATAACAAAAAAAAGAGACAAGGTACAATAATATCAGGAATGCAAAAGGAAGTATTACAGATGCTGCAGACATTAAATGGACAATAATATGAAAAACATCCAAAAATACTAAAAATTTAGAAGAAATTGACATATATCTATAAAAATATAATTTACCAAAACTATGTCAATGAAGAAATATAAAATCTGAAGAATTCTATCACTGTTCAAGAAATTTTGATTGACTCAACGATAAAAAAACACTCCTACAAAAACCCAACAACAACAAAAACAACAACAAAATTCCAGGCCAAGAGATTTCACTGGAGAATTCTATCAAATATTCAAGGAATAAACACTTCCAATACTCCGTAAAATATACGAGATTACAGAAAAAGAAGGGCTACTCTCCAATTTGTTTTTGAGGCTAACATAACTGATATAACTTGAGAGTTCAAGAAAGGATTTCAGTCAATCTCTCTCATGAACATAGATAAAAATATATTAAATAAAATTCTAACAAATCAAATCCAGAAATATATATAAGGAGAATGCATTACAATCATGTTGGTTTTGTCACAGGAATGAAAATTTGGTACACTAGCAAAATCAATCCATAAAATTTATCCCATTAACAGATTACATAGAACAAATTCAAATAATCACCCCAAACAATGCAGCAAAAGCTTTTATAAAATTTAATATCTGTAGGCTTTGCATGCTGGCTCCCAGCACTTTGGGAGGCCGAGGCAGGTGGATCACCTGTGGTCAGGAGTTTGAGACCAGCCTGACTAACATGGTGAAACCCTATCTCTACTAAAAATACAAAAACTAACCAGGCGTGGTGGTGCATGCCTGTAATCCCAGCTACTTGGGAGGCTGAGGCAGGAGAATCACTTGAACCCAGGTGGCAGAGGTTGCAGTGAGCTGAGATCGCGCCACTGCACTCCAGCCCGGGAAACAAGAGCGAAACTCCGTCTCGCAAAAAAAAAAAAAATTAATATTTGTGATAAAAGCTCTTAGTAAAGTAATAGCAAAAGGAAACTTCCTGAATGTGATAGAGGTTATCACCAAACACAGAAAATATTATATGAAATGATGAAAATTGAAAGCTTTCCTTTTAAGATTGGGAACAAGAATAAGAATCCTGATTATCCCTACTCTGTGCATTGCATTGGAAGTCCTAGCTAGTGCAATAAGCAAGAAAGAGAAACAAAACATACAGTTATTTGAAAGAGATAAAACTGTTCTATTGATAGATGATATGACCAAAATCCAAAAGATTCTACAGCTTTTGTCCTAAGTAAGGTCACTGGTTAAAGAAAGTATCATCAGCAACAAATAGCTTTCACATTTCTGTGTATAAACAATGATGAGAAAATGAAATTAAAATAAATTTGACAAAGGTGTAAGATTTCTACAAGGAAATGAACTTTACTGAGACATTAAAGAAGACCTAAACAAATGGAGAGTTATTTCACGTCCATAGATTGAAAGACTTAATATTATAAAAATTTTAATTATGTTGCTTGTTCTAAATTTATTTATAGAGTCAACAGAATTCAAACTAAAATTCCATCAAATTTATTTAAGGAACTTGACATACAATTCTAATATGAATACAGAAATGCCAAGAACCAAGAATAGGTAAGATACTTTTACAAAAAAGAACAAGGTAAGAGAAATGGCTGTAATTAGGTATCAGGTCACTTTTCAAATCTTGTAGTTGTTTCAAAAGTGTCTTACAAAGGTATAATAAATAAGACAGTGTGGTATTGACACAAGGATAAGCAAACAAACCAAAAGAACATAAAAGAGATGTCAGAAACAGATCCACACACATATGAACACAAATTATGACAAAAGGGGCAGTGCAAAGTATAATAGCAAGGAAAAGAGAGACTTGTCATTAAATGTTTCAGGGATGAATGGCTACAACATGGGAAAAACAGAAGTTGACTTGCATCTATCCTGTGTTGTTGTCTTTGTCTATTCATGGTGTTATAACAAAATACCATAAACTGGATGGTTAAAAAGAGAAATCTATTTCTCACTGTTTTAGAGTTTGAGAAGTTCAAGATCAAGGAATTTACATGCAAAGATGAGGTGAAAGGACAATATAAGCAAGTATGTACACAAGTAAAATACACAGATTTGGTCTTACGGTGGTTATAAAATATGTCCAGAAATTCTTGGAGATTCATGTCTTCAGAAGGTAGGCCCTAAAACCCCTTACTGTTAATGTGGTCTGGATTTAGCAACTCACTTCTAATGAATAGAAAAATGTGACTTAGGAGACTAGGTCACAAAAAGCATTACGTCTTTTTGCTTTCTCTTGAATTATTTGCTCTGAGGGAAGACAGCTGCCAAGTCATGAGGATACCAAACTTCTCTGTGGAAAGGTCACAGGGCTAGGAAGTGAGGTATCTGGCCATAAATAGGAACTTAGGCCTTCTATCCACGGAGGTGTAAGCAATCTTGGAAGCAGATCCTCCAGCTCCCATTAAGTCTTCAGATGACATTTTGATTGCTACTTCATGAAAGACCTTGTGTCAGATTCACCCAGATAAGCCACTTCCAATTATTTCATGAGTAAACGCTTGACTCATTAAATTATAAAATAATAAATGTTTTCCTTAAGAACTAAATGTTGGGGTAATTTGTTACATAGAAATAGGTAACTAATGCAGTTCTAGAGTCACGGAAGTGGGAATGAAAAGATAGAAGGCGTTTCAAAAGAAGAATCAATAGGACTCGGTTACTGAAAGAAGATAAATACAAAGAATGAGTCAAAGATGGCTATAAGGTTTTATATCCAGGAGTTAGGGGAATAGTGGTATCAATGAAGAAAGACGGTTAAAGAAGAAATCAATTTGGAAAATGTAATATAAATTGAGTTTTGAAATGTAGAAATTAAGATAATAACAAGACATATGGTAAATGTTCTATCGACAGTTACAAAACGAGGGCAAATACCAGGTAAGATGTAAAGCTGCAGGAGGGTGCAGTGAAGAATTCAACAGATAATTAATAGTAAAGGAATGAATATCTTTAAAAAAAGAATTTGATAAGATCAGAAGGGCTTGTTTCTTTGAAGCTTGTGAGTACATAAAAATAGAAAGTAAAAGAAAAATTATTCAAACATCTGGATAAAATAAGCTTGGTAATAAAATGTAGAGAAGAAGAGGAAATGAGAAGGAGAAACTATTTTCACTTTAAATACAGGCATAGGCATCTAAAAGCCAATAAGGGAAGGAAGGACTGAGTGGTGGGGGGAGAGAGAGAGAAATAGAAACTAGGCAGAAGGTTTTTGGGGGGTTGGAAATTGTAATTTTTTTTTTCTCCAATGGGTAAAATTGAGAGCTTCAGAAAAAAGAGATTAGTAATTCAGCAGTAAAGCTAATAATAAAATTACTGAGCAGCAAAGAGCAAATCAGAATAATCTCTGTGGGAATAGTAATTCGACAGTATGACTAAAAAGGAACTGCCTTTTGTGTATTTCTTTCTTAGATTTCAGCATTCGACTATCTTTTATTGTCGAGATTTGTTGCCTCTTAGAAGCCAACAAATGCAGATATATTTCATTATATAAACATTTGCTATTACAGAATTTTATTTTATTTTATTTTGAGAGGGAGTCTCACTCTGTCGCCCAGGCTGGAGTGCAGTGGCACAATCTTGGCTCACTGCAAGCTCCACCTCCCGGGTTCACGCCATTCTCCCACCTCTGCCTCCCAAGTAGCTGGGACTATAGGCATCTGCCACCACGCCCGGCTAATTTTTTGTATTTTTAGTAGGGACAGGGTTTCACTGTGTTAGTCAGGATGGTCTCGATCTCTTGACCTCGTGATCAGCCCGCCTCGGCCTCCCAAAGTGTTGGGATTACAGGCGTGAGCCACCGCACCCGGCCTACAGAATTTTAATCAGAAATCATTAAAGATTCCATTTACGATTAATTTTTGGTTACAAATGTATGTTCCAGTAAATTGTTATTCACTGCTGAGCTTTGAATCCTGTCTTCTGTAGCTTATTTCTTACCTTCAACTCTCAAGCCAGATAATTATATTTATTCCTAAAATCTATTATATTTCTATCCCTTTTTTTTTTTTTAACAATTATAGCCCATCTGGTTTAATATCACTGGTATGTTGTCCATCTTCCTCTAAATTGATTCAAGTCCTTTTCTTTCTCATCTCTACTTTGTTTTAATCTTTAGCATTTGCCATATGTGGGAACACCCACATTTTGTTCCCATACCAGATCTCTGCCTCAGTTTATGCTTTTGAGGAGGAATAATTCATGACAATAATAGATTTGTCTGTAATTAAAAACAAAACTGAAACAAAATTTCCTTTCTAGAGTACCTACATTATAGGTTTTTTAAAAAGTATAAACCACAGAACATTTAAAATAAGATTTAGTAATAAAAATTGAATTTATAAGATATTCATGGCATGAATTAAAGTGTTTATTGGTTAAATATATTTAACCTTATATATTAAAATATACATGTATAAAACCTAAGTTAAAATCTAAAATATCTATAGTTTTTGAGATCATTCTTTGATTTTTTTCTAAAAAACATATTTCCTACCCAAAATAGGGAAGTACCTCAACACAATAAATGGTATATATGACAAATCCACAGCTAACATCATACTTAATGGTGAAAAATTAAAATTATTTCCTCTGAAGGTCAAAAACATGACAAGGATGCCCATTTTTGCCACTTCTATTCCATATGGTACTGAAAGTCCTACCCAGAGAAATTAGGCAAGACAAATAAAAGGCATCAAATTGGAAAGGAAGATGTTAAATTGTCCCTGTTTGCAAATGAAATGATCTAATATATATAAAACCCTAAAGACCTCATCAAAAAACTGCCATAAACAAATGCAGTAAAACTGTATGTTCAAAACACAAAATATCAGTAGCATTTTCCATACATTAACAGCAATCTATCTGAAAAAGAAATCAAGAAAACAATTCCATTTACAATAGCTACTAAAACAATAAAATACCTAGGAATAAATTCAACCAAGAAGGTGAAAAATCTCTATATTGAAAACTACCAAAAACTGATAAAAGAAATTTAAGAAGGCACAAATAATTGGAAAGATATCTTGTATTCATGAACTGAAGAAATTAATATTGTCACAATGTCGATACTATTCAAAGTGAGCTACAGATTGAATGTAATGCCTATCAAAATTCCAATGACATTTTTCACAGAAATGGAAAAGATGATCCAAAAATTTGTATGGAACCACAAGTGACCCCAGTTAGAACAATCTTGAGAAAGAAAAACAAAGTTGGAGGCTTCACACTAGGGCTATTATGGCACAAAAGACCAAATGGCATTTGATAACATACAGTGAACAAAGGAAAGGTAGAATAAACACTTGATTTTTCCTTTTATTCATTTTTTTCTTTTAGAATGAATTGAATCTACAGCATCTTCCAAAGGTGACCAAAGACTTTTTTTTCTTTACTTAAAACCATTTTGAAGTCATGAATTTAAAAAATATGTTTGATATGTTTCAATTTATTGCACATATTCTTTTTGATATCCAGATAGTCCCCACATGGGCCAGGGGGAGCTAACTTAAGTTGGTCCATGGGCCATTTTGATGTGACCCCAGTAATCTTGATACCTTCTCTTTGCTTTTTGTGATGACAAAGTATTTTCTAGGCTTATCTTGTACTCTCCTGTCCCAAATCTGTAATCAATCATTTTTCCAAAGAGTCCTAGTTTCTTTTAGGAGACCTCATTGCAACTGAATACTGGTCTTGTTTTTACTGTTTACTGAAAAGACTGAACTAGAGAATACACGTTCTTAACGAGTAAAATACATCTTGAGTTCATAAACTCTTATTTCCAATTCCAATTTAGAACTACAAGTTTATTCAATTTGAGTTTCTTCTCTTTTATGATGAAAAATTTGTTTCTTAAAGACTTTTATAATAACTCAACTGCCTTATCCTATAATTATAAGTTTCAGAACACCACCATGAATATTATTTCTAACAATATGACTACTAGAAACAGTTTATGATTTCTTGCATTTCCTTTAATCCTTAGGCTTTATCCCACACAGTCTAATTACTATGTTTAATATCACTTGAAATAATTCATCTATGTAGTTAAGCCATCAACTTCCTATATAATTAAGTTAATTTGTTTAATTTTACTTTTGATTTTTAGGTATTGCTTTTCAAATTTTGATTTAATTCAAAAAATAATTATATAAACATTTATATAGTTCCAAAATTAAGCTTATAAATCTACAAAACAAGGTTCATTCAAAGAAGTCTAGCCTTCATTCTGTCCCGCTCTCTCCTCTCAGAAATTACCTTTGAATTATTTTTTGGCTCACCTCTTCACTTTTAAAAACACAAATGTGTGTACATATGTTGGTTTATATACATACATGTATATAAACACACACAGGCACATGCACTCCTCACTCTTAGATAATAAGTAGAATACTATACATACTGTTATATTACTTTTTTTTAACTTAATATACTTCAGATATTGCTCCATGTGCTAGGATTCTAACTGGGATTACAGTGAATCTATAGGTATATTGGTGGGGGAGAATGAACATAATTATAATATTTAGCATTCTAATTAATAAACATGGTCTCTGCCTTTACTTAGACTTTCTTTAATTACTCTTAATATTATATATAGTTTTCAAACAAAAGTCTTACATATTGTTTGTTAGATTTGTTGCTAGGTATTTGATGTTTTTTGATGTAATTATAAATTATTTTTAAAGTTTTATTTTTGAAATGTTTGTTACTGGTATGAAGATTACAAACGGTTTTTCTATATTCACTTAATAATTTGTCTAACAATTATTTTGGGTTTTTTACATATTCAACCATGTTGTCTGTTAAGAGTGGCTGTTTTCTTTCTTTCGGTTTTGTCAACCTTTTATTTCTTTTTCTTGCCTTAGTGCACTGATTAGGACTCCAGTACAAAGATCAATAGAAATGGTAATAGTGAACTTCTTTGACATCTTGTCAGTCTTCAAAAGAATGTTATTGACATTATTTTTTGCCATTAAGAACAATGTCTGCTATAGAATAGATGCCTTTAGAAAATTAAGGAAATTCTATTCCTAGTTTTTTAAGGAATATTTTTGAAAAAATAACCATGAAGGAATATTAAATGTTATCAAATGCTTTTTCTATATCTATTGAAAAGACCTTATGATTTTTCTCTTTTAATAAGTTAATGTTGTAAATTATATTGATTTTCTAATGTTATACCAACTTTGCATCCCTGACATTGAGCCTAACTGGTAATGATTTTTTTTTGTTGTTAGTTCTTTAGTGCTCTTTGTAGATGCTTTGTATAATTCAACTTTTTTACTTGTGGTGGAGGGTTGGTTAGAATTGCCTAGTTCACCACTAACTCTTTCATTTTAAATATATGTCATTCCAACCTTCCACCAAAACTCCTTTTATTATGGTTAACAAAGTCACCACATGATATCAAATTAGAAGGTCCATTCTCAGTCCTTACCTTACTCAACCAATGAATAACAGATTTTTATAAAACATAATGGTTAAGAGCATAGTGTCTTTACCCAAACTGAATGTAAAACCTAGATCTGTGTATTCATTATCTATGTGATCTTATACAAGTTCCTTAACCTCCTTTGGCCTCAGTTTGGCTATCTGTAAAACATGATTAATAATGTTATACACTTTGTGGGGTTGCTGTAAAGATTAAGTACATGTAAGTTGCTTAGAAAAATGCACACATTAAGTGTTCAATAAATATCACCCATTATTGCTTATTCCTTTTCTGAATTTTTATTTTTGATTTTTACTATTTGTCTTTATTTCTATTTCTCTGGATATGCTTTCTCAGTCTCTCTCAGTGGAATAATTTTCCTAAACTTTACATTTTGGAACTCAGTCCTCACACAGTTTCCATCTCTCTATCCTCTTTTTCAACATGTTCTCATTCCATGACTTTAAAAATCATGTGTATGTTAATGATTCACAAGTTTATAGCTCTTATTGTAATCTCCTCCCTGAATATCAACTTACATACATAATTTACTAGTTGATATCCTGACTTAAATATCTTTTGGGCAGCTCATACTTAACACCCCAAAGCAAACTTCCCGTGATTATCTCCAACCCTTTATAACCTAGTTTAAGCCACCACCATTTTATACTTGGACTATCATAGTACTAGTTTCTTTCTCCCTTCTCTTACCCTTGCCTCTTTACAGTCTATTCTTTTTTTTTAATAGATTTTATTTTTTAGAGTAGTTTTAGGTTTACTATAGTAAATCATATGGTGATATAGTAGATCATTCAGTGATCACATTCATCTGTTGAACATTTAAGTCTGATCACATCACTTTGCTCAAAGCCCTCTGATCTCATTCCTATGTTGAAGCTCTTGAGCTTCCCATCTCATTCAACACAAAATCTCAAGTTCATCTGAGGAAGGGTCAGAGAATTTTTTTTCAAGGGCCAGAGAACAAATATTTCAGGCTTTGCAGGCGAAATAGATTTTGTTGCAACTATCTAAACTAATATATCCAACAAAAACTATTACATTTTCTGAAACATGCATGAAATTTGTAAAAAATATAATATTTGCTTTGGTTTATGACATAATATTTTTATAGTAGTTTCATAAATATTTACTGAAGAAAAAGGTAAGGTCCAGAATTATACATTTTTTAAAAAAGATTATGGCAAGGACATTAAACTATAGGTTAAAGAATTTCTTCTGTAAAACATGTCAAACAACTAACAGTAGACTTACTTTAGATTATTGATTCTAATTTCTGCACTTTCAGTAAGTTTCTTCGTTTCTTCTTTCCACCTATTGGCTGCCTTCTGTTGAGTCGCTAGGAGATGCCTCAGTTCAACAATGGAATTTCTATTACTGTCTTCCATCTCTCTCAATTGAACTTCAAATCCACGTTCCTTTATTGAAAATTCATGTTCCATTGTACTGATCTAAAGAATAAAATGAAAACGTATTTTCTTTTTCTTTTCTTATAGGTGCTATACAGATCAATGATATATACAAAAGGAATCATTCATTATGTTGTCTGAGGGACAAAAATGTTTGGATGAGAAAACTACGTAAGAAATCAAGTTTGGTCAGGTGCGGTGGCTCATGCCTGTAATCCCAGCACTTTGGGAGGCCAAGGTGGGCAGATCACGAGGTCAGGAGTTTTGAGAGCAGCCTGACCAACATGGTGAAACCCCATCTCTACTAAAAATACAAAAATTAGCTGGGCGTGATGGCACACGCCTGTAATCCCAGCTACTCAGGAGGCCGAGGCAGGTGAATCGCTTGAACCCAGGAGGTGGGGGTTGCAGTGAGCTGAGATCGCACCACTGCACTCCAGCCTGGGTGACAGAGTAAGACTCTGTCTCAAAAAAAAAAAAAAAGAAAAAAGAAAAAAGAAATTAAGTTTACAATTGGTCTTCATTACAAACGAAAACTTATAATGTTATGTCAGTAAAACTAGAATTATGATGAACTATATATTTTTGCAACACTTTCCCTAACACCTTAAAATGCCAGTAAAAGAAAAGTCTATTTATTATAACATAACACTTCTCTCTTTATTTACTCTGATTTCTGTTGCCAGAATCCAAGGAAAGTGTTGATGCTGTTGGTATCTGAGTTAAGTATTTACTCAAACCACTTTTGACTTACATACTAAATTTGAAACTCTTTCAAAGGGCTTTGTAAAGTCAAAGATAATTATATACAGGAATTTCTTTACCACTTCAGCTCCAGTATTAGTGAATGATTAATGAATGAATTATTTTTCAGGAGAAAGAGACAATATAAACAATGATTTTGAAAATCTCTTACGAAAATGTCTTCAGTACACTTCTAAGAATTTATGTCATTATAGTAAAAGCACTTTAATTGCAGCATGAACTTATAAGTAAATGCTCTTTGGATACCCTAGAAGCTTTCTCTGCTGGGGTTCAGGGAGAGAATTAAGCCCTAATGCTTTAAGGCATCCAATGTATATAATGACTTGCGTTCTTTCATCTGTGTCTACAATGTAACTACCTAAGTACCATTTTTGGGGAAATTGAGAAAAAAGTTACTGCAATATTTTTCTATGTTTTGTGGTTCAGATGAAAAACACTTGTGGAAAAAGGCAGCAAGGTGATTTGACTTCCTTATTGTACTCTCAGGCCATCTATATTTTGCTATACTAAAGAAGTATAAAGAACACTTATTTTGTGATACTTTAATTGCTTTACAAATGTCCACAGCTGGCTAGACTTCTAGTAATTCATTAAATACAGTTACTTTCAAACTCAAAAAACAATGAGAGTAATTCATTAAATACGGTTACTTTCAAACTCAAAAAACAATGAGATCAACTTTAGTGTGTCAAAAAACACAAAACAAGGCCCAACAACAACAAAATTCTTGGCTCACTGGAGCAAACTGCAAACATTCTGTCCTTGCCACCCCTGCTAAATGCAAAATGCTTCCTAAAACTCTTCAATTTGCTTTCTCAAATAGTACACATGCAGAAATTGAAGACTTTATAAATACAGACACTGGAAAACCAATCTTGGATGTGTTAGTTTTGTGTTGTATTACTGCTGTGCAAGCCTCCTGAGGCCACTTGACCCCTGCTGCTATCTTAATAATTTTTGAATTATTAGATTCTGCAAATTTAGATTGCCTGCCCTTTCTCCTTCCCTTCCTTAATCTTCATCTCCTCTGGAGAAGTCATGTTGGTCTAACATCTCAGGTGGAAAACAAAAAGTACAGCCCCTGTGAGTTCTTTCTTATGAACACATGTTAAAAACTGATCTATGGGCCAGGTGTGGTGGCTTATGCCTGTAATCCCAGCATTTTGGGAAGCTGAGGCAGGCAGATTACTTGAGGTCAGGAGTTCGAAACCAGCCTGGCCAACATGGTGAAACTCCATCTCTACTAAAAACACAAAAATTAGCCAGGCGAGGTGGTGGGTGCCTGTAATCCCAGCTACTCAGGAGGGTGAGGCAGAAGAATCGCTTGAACCTGGGAGGTGGCAGTGGCAGTGAGCCAAGATCACGCCATTGCACTCTAGCCTGGGCAACAGAGCTTCTCAAACAAACAACAAAAACAACAACAACAACAAACCACATATGCACACAAAACTGATCTATGCATCTGTACAGTTTTAGAATTTGGCTGCCTAGTTAACTCCCCATTTTCACTTGGAAAATCTATTTATCGTTTCACAAGCTTTGCTTTAAGACCCTTTATGATAACCTGGTCCCTGCTTACTTTTACAAGCTTGTGTTGTGCCACACTATTCCCTTGCCTTTCTTTTATTTCCACTATAATGCCTTTTTATTCTTTGGTTCTTTTCACATGCTGTTTCTTTTGCCTGAAATAATCTCTTTCTGCTTACCTATTTCAACTTTTGGAACACAGTACGGTTGTCAAAACATATTTGCAGATTGAATGGTGGCTTTTTGATGTCAAAATTCAGTCTCGAACAAGCACCATAGCCTTTAGTATATACAATTCGAATTACTACCTAAATTGGACAGGTCTGTGGTAATGCTGACAGGCTAAGGGCCACAACAACTGATCTCCGATTACAAAAATTCTATTAATGATAAAATTCAGAATGTTGGATGGGAAAAGGGGTTTTATGGTCTCTCTTCTTTCTTGCTTCTTCCTTCCTTTACAGAGAAATATCCACACAAGTAGATAACTGAATTGCTGGAAACGACTCCATTTCTTAATTTTAGATGGTAATGAGGCGGAATTTAGACCATGAAGAAATGGAGAGCCCTGGCAAAAGGAGTGGTTAGAAAAGGAGAAAGCGAGGGCTGAAATCAATGCAGTGGCATTAAGATCAAATGAAAACTTCATATGATAAATTGTTAAGGTTTGTAGCCAACTGACCTCCCAATATCTCACTGTCTTTATCTTTTTGGCTTCTTTCAGTTTATCTACTGAAGATCATACTCTTTTGCAAGAGGGAGAAAAACAGCAAGGTGTAGGTGCACCAGGTTCCTATTTTGTCAAAGAAAGAATCAGTTACAAAGCAATTTATCTTACAGCCTTCTTCCTCCATAAAATAGAATTATAGCTAGTTAGTTAAGACGTTCGGCTCTTTATCAATGGCTATTCTCTTAAGCTAGATACAGATTTGGTGAGATATGTGGGGTAGATAAACTTTCTATTACTCTTTTGTTGTCCATAACATCAGTTACTATCCTGAAATGTTAAAGACGGATCTAGTGGAGTACTAGATAGGAAAAATTCATTGATTCCATCCCCACTCATTATAAAAAAAAGAAAGCAAAACAAATACATATTGTAAAATTATGGAAAATAACAAAGCATTAAAGTGAAATGTTAAAGACGGATCAACTGGAGTACTAGATAGGGAAAATTCATTGATTCCATCCCCACCCATGATTAAAAAAAAGAAAACAAAACAAATATATATTATAAAATGATGGAAGATACAAAGCATTAAAAAGACAACTATAAGGTCCCTCTATTCCCAAAACTCAGATAATCCCTTCTAACTTCTACATAATTGTTTTTATTTATGAATTCTAAAATTGTTATTACAGTATGTAAAGGATTACTACATGTATGTGTGTATACACATAAATTTTTCAATCATAGGGTGTATCAATATAAATGCATTATAAATTATTTGGAAATATAGTTTTTAATGACAATACAGTATCTTATTAAAAACATATACACTATATGTCAAAAATACATATGTGTACACACAGGTAGTAATCCTTTATACACTATAGTAACAATTTTAAAATTCATAAATAAAAGCAATTATGTAGAAGTTAGAAGTATTATCTGAGTTTTGGGAGTAGAGGGACTTTATATATTTTTTTTAATGTTTTGTATTTTCCATAATTTTACTATACATATAGATGTAACATATTTACTTCTAGATATTTAGGTTGTTTCTAATTTATTATAAATAATGCTGCAATGAACTTATTTATGAAATATTTTAATTACTTTCTTATGACTGAATTTTAGACTCTAAAGTAAATACGTACCATTTAATACTTTTAGCTGCACGTTCACTTAGAGATACTTAGCAATTAATTAATGGTGAGTTTAAACTGCTTACTGCCTACTGTTTTTTTTTCTTAGATTGCAGATTCTGTTCAACTCTCACATGATTTTTTATTCGGTTACAAATAGTTTTCTCTTATATTTTTAAAAGCTCTTTAGATAAAAGCATGGGAAAACCTGCCCCCATGATTCAATTACCTCCCACTGGGTCCCTCCCATGACACACTGGGATTATGCAACTACAATTCAAGATGAGATTTGGGTAGGAAGACAGCCAAACCGTATCAGGATGTATGTATGTCTGGCTTTAAAAGATAATGCTACATTCCCAGCAGTATCTATCAAAGTTCTAATTGCTTTATATTCTTAAAAATACTTGATATTTTTAGTCTTTTTAATTTTAGCCATTCTGGTGGTGTGTAGTGTTATCTTGTAGTTTTAATTTAAATTCTCCTAAAAAATAATGAAGTTGAACATATTTGCCTATATGCTATTTTATGAAGTGCCTACTTAAGTCTTTTGGCCTTTTCTGGAAATGGAGTATCTATTTTTTTCTTTATTAGCTATTAGCTGTTTTTTCCTTATTAATATTTTTCTTATTAATTGGTAAAAGTTTTTATATTTTGGATATGAGTTCTCTTTTTGGTTATATGCACTACAAATACTTTCTCCCACTTTTCCCTTTCTTAATGGTGTCTTTTGGTGACTAAAAATATCTTAATTTTAGTGAAATCCAGTTCAGCTTGGATTTTTCACCATGGTTAGTGTTTTTTTGTGCTCTGTTTAAGAAATATTTCAAACCCAAAGGCAAGAAGATTTTCTCCTAGAAACTATCATTTCACATTTCACATTTAGGTCTACAAAGCAGCTCCAACTAATTTGCATATATGCTGTGATATAGGAGTTAAGTTTTATTTTTAAAATATGGATCTGACTGATCTAGCACCATTTGTGAAGCCAGTTTTCCCCCCACTGAACTGCAATGGTGCCTTTGTTATAAATCAAGTGATTATGATAAATGAGTTTGTTTCTAGACTCAATTTTTTGCCATTGATCAAGTTGATTATTCTTATGTTGATAACACATTGTCTAAATTATTTTAGCTTTTTATCAAGTCTTGATATCTGGCGGTATGGGTCCTCTCCTTGTTCTTCAAAGAACTCCCATAGTCTAAAGGTCAAAGTACAAACTTCTTTTTAAATAAGACTCTCTTTTTCATTTCGGAGTTCAAGGTTTTACAAATAACTAGGGCATTTCATACCTGCAATAGGAGGCATTCAATAAATTTATGTTGACATGAATTAGGTTGGAATATGACTTCTTAGGAGTCCTTGCAGCAATAAAAACCAAAATAAAACAGTGACATGACCTCTTCATATTCTTACTATGAAATTGGAAGATGTAGATATTTATCATAAAAAGTTAGTGCCACTTTTTACAAAAGTCTCATGACATGGGGAAAGGTAAGCAAGATGTTGATGAAGATTGTGTTACTTGAAAGTCCCTTAAAAAGAGGATCACCTTCCTATTACCAAACCATATAAGCATCAGAGGAGAAGGAAATAAGAGAGAAAAGAAAGGGAATTTGTTTTAGATGACATTTTTGCCTCTTGCCTTCTTCCTGCCATGGAATTTTCAGACTAGTTATGAATGGTTCTCAGAGCCTACTGCTTTAACATCCTCTATACAGTTAGTTTTAGAGAAGTTCAACTTTTCAAAGGCTACTACAGAGAGAGAAGAGAGGAAGGCAGTCTGTAAAGTTATCTAATCCATGGTTTTGCTAGTGCTGCTTAAATTGCTTTGGCAGGAATATCAGTATATTTCGTGGTTGGAAAAGAATTTTTTTGTGTGTAGCAAAGGCAATCATTTTCAAGTATGCCTGCCAAGTTCTACAACACAGAAATGATTGGTTAACACTCTGAATTATGATTTAGTGCTATCTGATGAGAAGGCAAAAAAAAAGGGGGCCTTAAAGATGTTTTGCTAGGTCTCTCTAAATATTCTCTATACTTTGATTTTCATAAGTACACATTTAACTCTAGTCTTGAAAATACCTTTACTTTGGCTTTTTTTTGAGCCTCCAGGGCAATCTTCCTTAAACTCTCAGTCTCTTTCCGTAACTGTTTATTTTCTTGCTGAAGTTTTAGCCTTTGTTCACTGACAAGCCCACAGTTCTCTCTCTCAGACTCCAATACATTTTGAAGTTTCTGAATCATTTCTTGGTAACGTGATATTTCTTCTGAGGAGCTGATTAAAAAACGAAATGAAAAGAATCCTTAAACTTAATGATCTATAGTAGAAGATAAAAGTCTGTCTACATTTTATCACATGGACTTTTGTTTGCTTTATTCTGAGCCATTTCTTTCCACTTTAGACTGAAACTATGTGGTTTCAAAATGTTATGTTATACCAGGCAAATACATTCAACTTAAATATATTCAAATTTTAACTAAGAACAGATGAATTGAACTGTTATCACTTATCTAGAAAATCAATGTGAGACTTCTTTCAAATTTGTACTAACATTAAGAATCACTGTGTATGGAGAACTTCAAGGAAATGAACTGAAGCAACAAAAAAAGGATGAAGCGGATAATAACCAAAACTCCTTTACTTAATCAATAAACTCCATGGACTAACACAATAGCTGACTATATTACTAAATTATAAAATCTACTTTTATATTTTTCCATTATATGTCTTAGAAATACTTTTTATAAACTTCTAGTTCTGTAAACTTCTTGTTTTATCATAGGTTAAACGGATTATATTTCCTGAACTGTCTCAACAATGGACCACTGATCACTGGGTGAGACAACCTCTATACATTAATGTTGCTTCAAATCAATATACTGCTAATTTTTATTCCTATCTTTTAAAACTTCCATCTTTTCAATAACAGATAAGCACTGTGAACATTCCCTGGTTAATAGGTTTCACAGGGAATTGTATGGAAATGCTACTAATATTGTGAAAGTTTAAGAAAACTACTAGTTAAAAGTATTTTGCAAGCAGAAAAATACTTAAAATTCTTAAAATAAAGAAGCAACTTTGACCTGGTGGCAGTTTTATCACCATGAACCACTCCTTCTGTCCTATTTTGGCATGCTGACCTGCCCATATCTGCCAGTGCTTTGGGTGAACACAGTTAGTGACTGATTTTCTTTGATCTCTACCTCTGCCTTTCTAGATCTTTGCTTCCCCAGCAACTCCCACATTCTTGTAAACTGTTTCCTACATTAAATCCTTTATTCCCGCAATACTCATAGTCTTTTTTCTGTCTAAACCTAGGCTGATAAAGTTCCTAATAAAATGACATATCTAGGGAATGATAATAAAAGGATGCTAACATCAGAAGATGCTGAGATCAGAAACAACCACAGATTGTAAGCCTCCTAATAGACGTCCACAATATCATCATCTATGAAGAATTCTTCCAAAAACAACAACAACAAAAAAAGAAAGCTAGACCAGATCAAGCCTCTGGGTCTAATTGCTAGTTTTTAGGAATTACATGAGACAGAGTAAATAGCATCAATATACAGGCATGTAGTGGAGGAAACTCTACATTACTAAGAACTCAGTTTTTAAAACAAATTATTTGCAACAACAACAAAAATACAGAAAAGGGGATTCCCAGAGATTAAAGGAGATGCAAGACTACAGCACTCCAAACATTCCTGAAATTAGAAATGGACAAGAGAACTCGCACTCAAGAGAAACCCTTTAAATGAAGTAACTAAGAAAAAAGTTCATCAAATATACTTTAAAGCACATATGAAAACTTAGGAGAAAAACTCTTTGTATGTGGAGAATGTGGGAAAGCCTTCATTAATTCCTCCTGTCTTGATGAACGCGTAAGAACTGATACTGAGGAGAAGAACTCTGCTTATAAAAAGAATGCATGGGAGCCTTTAGTCATTTCTCATTTCCTTAATGAAAGAAAAGGACTCATATTGGAAAGAAGCCTGGTAAATCTAAAGAAGATGGGTTAATCCTTATCCTTCACTCAACCTTCAAAATTTATCCTGGAGAGAAGCTTTTTGAAAGTAAGGAACATGGGAAGGTCTTTTACCCAGTCCTCGCACCTTATTCTATGTTTACACCCTTTAGGAAATATGTGAGAGTTCACCCTGGATAATAGCTTTATGAATATAAGGAACACAAAGAAGACTTCGATATCTCCTTTTACTGTACACACGCAAAATACTCATAATGCAGAGACACCATGTGAATTAAAACAAATGCAGGAATGCTTTTATTCAATACTCCTCCCTTAAGAGACATATGGATATACACATTGGAGAGAAACCCCGTGAATGTATGGTATTGGGAAAAGCCTTCATGTGTGATACGTCTCTTAGTACATACAAGATTTATGCTGGAATAAACCAGCTCCTCCTGCAGGTTTGATCTGGAAGTAATCATATGAGCAGATTATCTGAAAAGGTTATTGAAAATTACACATATATTTATTAAACAAATTTGCAAGATCTCTTACTAAAAAAAATCTTTATTAATTTAGGTATTAGTATTTAATTAAAAATATATTTTGAACACATATAGAGATTGTGATTTTAGGCAATTCAAATAAGAAAATTTTGCTATATTAGGTAATACCGTCGGGGTGGGGAGGTAGAAAAATAAAATGGTATGTCAAATTATGACTTTATCATTTTATAGATAATAAAATATACAAGATGGATCATTATAGAATATTCACTATAACAAGAAATACACTAAGTACAGGTAGTATAAAAGAATATAAGCAAGCTACTATAATAGCTGCACAATTGGTACAAAGACAACAATATTATAAACATCCTATTTAACTGCCAGAAAGGATACATTTAAAAGAAAATGGTATGCTACTGTTAAATCTTTTCTTCCTGCAGAAATTCGCTTTCAGAAATAATCTTGAATAAAATTATATTTGGTCCTAATTGTTTTTTTCAACATAAGATATATTGTAAGTCCTACCAAAAAAAAGAAAAGGTAGCGAATCTGTCAAAAATTGTGTGAATTCTGAAGATGTTATCATAGAAAATCCAAAAGAAAAACTTACTCAGTTTCAAGTTGTTTTATTCTATTTTCTGCTCTCGTAAGTCTTAGCTGAAGATCATCTTTTGAACGCTCTGAAACCAGGAATCTTTGGTGCATTTCTTCCAGTTTTCTGTAATCACTCTCATTTCCTCTGCCTTCACGGTAAATCTGCAGAAAAGGCTTATTAGGTATATAATATTACAGAAGAAACTGTCTTAATAAACAGTTTAGAAACAGAAATCAATGGAAGAAATAAAAAGCCATGATTATGTGTTCATTTGTTCTGACCGTAACATATGAAACATATCAATAATTAAATCTGGTTCTGTCACATTTACAAAATAAAATGCTAAAAACTAATATATAAAATAATAATAGTTTTGAGACCAGCCTGGGCAACATAGCAAGACCCTGTCATCTAAAAAAAGTATTAAAAAATTAGCTGGGCATGGTGGCTCACACTTGCAGTCCCAGCTATTAGGGAGGCTCAGGTAGGAGGATCCTTGAGCCCAGGAGATCGAGGCTGCAGTGAGCCATGATCATGTCCACTGTACTCCAGTCTGGATAATCGGGCAAGACCTTGTCTCTTAAAAAATAGAATTTATTTTTTTGGAATTATTCATGCTCATGGTAAACTATGCAATAATACAAAAATGTAAAGCAGCTGAAGTAAAAATAAATGTCAACTTAGAGATAACCACTGGTGATTCTTTGATGAGTACCGTTCAATACAATCCTCTTTTCCAATATTCAAAAATAAAGATACATGCCATGGTGCAATAACTAGAACTCTCTGCAAGTGACTCCAGAATCTCACTCTGGGTTACCTGGACAATGATCTAGCTAGGATGGGGCTTCCCCCTTCCTCGGCAGTGGTGGTTGTACCTAAGCTCAGCTTTCCATGCAATGGGGCTCCCTCTTACAGCACAAGGTCTGTAACATCCTAAGAGATCCAAGGTCTCCAGGTGTAAGCAGTTCATACGTTGAAGCAAATCCTGCACACAGCTACCCCCAAAATCTAGACTGCCTGGCCAAGTAACCTGTGTCTTCCCCACTGACAGGACTGCTTTGTCACTCTCTATAAAAACATGGAGTATCAGCACGTCAACATTCCACTACTGGAATACAGATCTAAGCTGCAGACCCAGCAGTACTTTGACCTTAGAACACTGGTCTGTGGAACAGTGGGAGAATAAGGCGCTGTGCTTTCTCTTTACCTGTTGTCTTTTGCCTTGTAAGTTTTACATTTCCCCAAAAGCCTTTTCCTTAACCTTTGCCATGTGATGTTAAAACATTCATCCCAAACCCTGATGTGTAACAGGTGGCAATCTAAATGGAAATTGTACGCAGATGGAAACTCAGAAGGGACCCACCTTGCAGGAGAGTGGTAACCAAAAGTCCTATTTTGAACACATGTATTTTTTTTTTCACAAATGGAATTGTACATTATGTTTTGCTTTGTGTATTACTCTTTTACTGATGTCATAATTTTTTCATGTTCATAATAGATATAGACCATAATTTTTACGCTACATAGCTCTCCTTTGAAAATCAAACTCTGACTCTACCATTTACCACTTTTTAACATTGGGTAAGTTACTTAACCTCTCTATGAAAGTTCTTAGTGCAGCACCTAAAACACAGTAAGTGCTCAATCAAATTTGGCCTCCTTTTCTTTTCCCAAGGTACTTTACAAGAGCAGGATATTACTGCTAATAAAAAAGCATATGAAAGAGATGAATTTTAAACTATGGAGTTCTCCCTATAGTTTTTCTGAAATATCACGGGGGTAAATATTCTTCCTAAGTGTGAAATTAAAATCTGTACTTCTAAAAGGTAAAAATCATAGCAATGCTATAATTTTCTGGTTATATATACTTGTTTTATTTATAGATGGCCTAAGCACCATAAGAGCTAAAATAAAACTCAAAAAGAAAGGAAAGACAAAGTGAAATTTCGTAGGATGAGGTTTAAGCAAGAAATATAACTACTTCACAAAATTTATATCTTTAAGTACAAAGTTCAAAGAATACAGCCGCCCTTGGAAAAGAATTGTATCCAGGCAACATCAGTATTTAACTGTAGACTCTGAATATATTTAAGAAAAGTGTGAGGCTGAGGCAGGCGGATCACGAGGTCAGGAGATAGAGACCATCCTGGCTAACATGGTGAAACCCCATCTCTACTAAAAATACAAAAAAAGTAGCCAGGCATGGTGGCACACGCCTCTATTCCCAGCTACTCAGGAGGCTGAGGCAGGAGACTTGCCTGAACCCGGGAGGTGGAGGTTGCAGTGAGCCGAGATCATGCCACTGCAATCCAGCCTGGGTGACAGAGTGAGACTCCATTGCAAAAAAAAAAAAAAAAAAAAAAAAGAAAAGAAAAGAAAAACTTACCAGGACAATACTAACAAATAAAGGAATTGCTAGTAGATGGCATGATGGAGGCAGACAGTAATGTTGCATATTTGCAGTTGGGTTTTAGGTAGTTATATTTCCTTTTTCTTTTTACCTTTTCTAGTTCTTCTTCCACTGCTTTTTTTTCCTTAATGACTCGTTCAATTTGGCCTTGTTTTTCAGCACACTCCTATAAATTCAAGTCATATTGTAAATATATACATTTGGTAACATCTTAAGAAAAGTGGGGAAAAATTATAATTTGTTCATAATGGGAATATCATAGTTATCAACACAAGTTTAAGGTTATATTGATTAAAAACAAAACAAAACTCAATATTTGAAGAGCAACCTAACCCAGGATTGCAGAAATTGCCTCCAGCAGTAGGATGCCAAGGAGTTCTAATTAAACAGACTGAGGTTGGGGGATTCCAGGGAGAAAAAAATAAATAGAACCCCTTTCTCATACTATAGATTTTCTTTTCATATACTCTTATCAAGTATTTTGAAAAGGGAACATAGAACCAGATAGTGGCACAAAACCCTCAGGGATAACCTATGGCCTAAAGGATATGTGGGTGTATAAATTCTAAAAAAGTTAACTTTTTTCTTTACAAAAATTACAGCCAACAGAAATACTAAAAATATTTTATTAGCATGAACATAAAGTATTTCTGCTCAAAAGATTTTACTCTGTATTTAGCAAGCATATCAATTAGATAATAAAATTTAACATTTTGCTAATGCACCTAAAACAAAAAAATCATAATTATTAGTTCTTCACAATTATTTGTATTTATACATTTATTCTGGAGAATGGGTAATGTGTATGGCTTGTTTTTTTTTTTTTTTTTTCGTGAGACAGGTGCACATGTGTATGTTAATAGGACAGTAATCAGTGCAGGGGGAGGTCATCTCTGCCCCACCCTGTTTGCGACCCACTAAGGCTGGCCTCCACTGCAGAGTGCCCCTCATTCTGTGCATTTGCATTTCTGTCCCTTTTTTTTAATTGTTATACTTTAAGTTTTAGGGTACATGTGCACAACGTGAAGGTTTGTTACATATGTATACGTGTGCCATGTTGGTGTGCTGCACCCATTAACTCATCATTTAGCATTAGGTATATCTCCTAATGCTATCCCTCCCCTCTCCCCCTACCCCACAACAGTCCCTGGTGTGTGATGTTCCCCTTCCTGTGTCCATGTGTTCTCATTGTTCGATTCCCACCTATAAGTGAGAACATGCGGTGTTTGGTTTTTTGTCCTTGTGATAGTTTGCTGAGAATGATGGTTTCCAGCTTCATCCATGTCCCTACAAAGGACATGAACTCATCCTTTTTTATGGCTGTATAGTATTCCATGGTGTATATGTGCCACATTTTGTTAATCCAGTCTATCATTGTTGGACATTTGGGTTGGTTCCAAGTCTTTGCTATTGTGAATAGTGGGGTATGGCTTTTTTTCCTCTTTTTTTTTTTTCCCCTAATTGTGAATCATGCTTTGGAGGAACCCACTTTGCTAACTGTACACTACGTACTAATGATGTTCAATTATTTTATAGAAGAAGTGTATTTCAATATGTTTTTAAATTTTAAAGTAAGCTTCTTTTGTGACCCAAAATTAATCACCATTGATGATAATGAAGATCTTTAAACCTGTTACAAATCAGTTGACAAATTTAAATTTAATATCTTTTATTAAGATAGAACCCTGAGTGTATACAAAATGCAACATTAATATTCCACATATTCATATAGTAAGTTGCTTATCTAGGAGAGGGTAGTTTCAGTGCTAAATTTGGGATTTTACCTACATTCGTAACTCCTCCCATGTGATTTTTAATATATATGTTAATAACAAAGTCTGGCTCACACTTCTGGGGCTGGCAAGTGGTATATAAAGAAATGCATGTGTAAGTATGCTTCATATCCCTCTCCACCCAATCCACCATTTCACTGACAAATGATGATGGCCTAAAGAATATTTGGTTAACCTGGGGGTAAAAAAGGTAAAATGAGACAGCAAAGTTTAAGCCTTTAGAGAGAATTACCATACTAATTCTAGTAGAAATGCACTATAATACTAAAGCAAACATTAAAAATTACTATTACAAAGTTTTTAGAGATATTTGCTTATCACCACTGACATGCCTACCTTTGGGGGAAAATATGACAAAATAATAGATATTTTTTCAGGTACTCATGGAGTATTTCCAAAATAATACTCTATAAAAGAAGTCTCAATACATATTAAGAACCAACCATATAGACCATGATCTGTGCTGCCGACCTAACCAAATGAGAAATCAACAATAAAAGACAGTGTAAATCCTCATGTATTTAGAAACTAAAAAAAAGACTTCCAAAAAATTCATCCATCAAAGAAAAGATCATAATGAACATTTTATGTTACTTTTGTAAGTTTGAACATTTTATAATTAATTTTCTTATTTGATATAGATTAATAGCAATCTGCTACATGGCAGAATAAAACCTTGAATATTCTTAAGATAAACTACACCTTACCAGAGAAAACAAAGGCTGTTAGGTACGTGTTGGTCTCCAAAGGGAGATATGTAGCTTGAAATGTAATGGCTCCGGCTTTTTCTTAATCTATTAAATAATCTGCACACTCATCTAAAATACAAATTTTTCTCCTTCCTGTGAGCATACCTTACTTTTGGATCAGCAAAAGTATGCATAACTTCCTTCCTGGACTTCATAGTGTAAATAAATAGTATAGATGGATAGTATATTATACTAATACTATTAGTCTAGATAGTAAAATTGTTAATAATAGAAAACAATAGCAAGCATCAGGTTATTATGCTTCAAACTGTAGCTTAGATTTTTTGAGAAAATCTGTCTTAAAGTAGCCAAATATGTTTTCCTTTGAACATATTTTTAACATAATACTTCAAACTTTTCAATTACACAGTATAGTTCTCCCCATAGAATCAACATGACTATGAGATGTTTCATATCTTTAGAAAAATCACTTAGCTATGAAGTAGAATTGTTTTACTATAAGAAACACTTTTTGCAATAAACTGAAATTGTCATTCTTTTTACTCTAAAGTGAGTTTAATATAGCTCTGGTTGTTACACAGCTAACAACGATTTGAAAAATCCCTGGAAGTCTTAGCCAGTCCTTGTTCCCTTGAGAATACAGAAAGAATGAATATTCATGCCCTTGCAGAGTTTACCATCCATTAAATGATCTTGGACTGGGGTAGTACCCTTCTACTCCTCTTTTTCCACAAAGATACGAATCTCTTGATAGCTAATCAGCCCATGAAAGAAAACAAGCAAAATAACTGGGTGATAGAAAAGGAAGCAAAACTCCACAACAACAAAAAATTACATGTCACTAACTGGCCACATTGCATCTCACTAATTTTACTTGATGTTCCTACATTATTAAAATAAGTGACATTAAACAAACAAATACAAAATAAATATTCCTTGTTCTATTACATTTGGGACCAATACACAATGATTAAGATCCCGTCATGTGCTCTCCAAAGTTTGTAGAATGGCGAAAGAAAATGTGATCCCTCTTTCAGAGTGTTTAAATATACCATTCAGTTGATAAACATTTAAAAATATACTCTGCAAAACACTGTACTAGGCAAGCAACAGGGAAAATAAAGGAAGGCGTAAGACTCTACTATGTTGAGATGCTTACAATCTAATTGCAGAGGTAAGATTTTCATGGAGAGAGACAGAGTGTGTATGCTCAACATACACCTAAAGCATGATAGTTATTACAAGATATGATTCATTGCTAAATTTTGTAACAGAGATAAAAAGTGATACAGGGAGTCAGAAAAGATGAAAGTTTGTGAAGTTATAAACATTTTCTCAATTCTTGAAAATTGTTATACTTTTATTCTCCTATAAGCAAGGTTATTAAATTTCATTACATCAAATCTTCAAGTTAAACTTCTATTTCCAATCTCACCTCTAGCCACACAAGTATTCTTTTCCTCTCCCCTCTTGGCCTACTCATTCCTCAGTATTCATTTCTTTCAGGAAGCTTTCTGTATTTCTTCCTTCCCACTGTTATATATACTTTCTCTTTCTCCTTGGTTTCCCAGATAAACTCAGCATATGATAGGAGCTACAGCTAGCAATAGCATCCTGTGCATTCTCTGTCAAAGACAGGTAGTTACAGTAAAATGTGATAAATGCCATCTATCTTTCCTGCTAGAACATAAGCCACAAGGCTGCTGCAAACATGTCTATCTGGATTTTCACTTTTTTCTTAGCACCTAGCCAGGGCTTGGTTTAATAAGTATCTTTTGAATGAATGAATCCCCAATAGTATATATCTTGGCCTTTAAAATAAGTAATATTTGGAAGAAAATATCAGTATAGTCAAACATACCATTTGAAGGGCTGAAAGTTCTTCTGTTAATCGAGAAATTTGTATATTACATTGTTTTTTGGTGTTTGCAACCTGTAAATTAAGACATTTACTCATTATTTGGTTCTAGAATAAAAATGATTAATATCTGATAAAAACACTCAGGATAATAATTTTGATAAAAATAAAATTGTAACTTTTAGGGCATAAAAGACAAATAAGCACATAATATATTAAAGAGCCAAGAATTTGCCATGAAAGTGGAAGGAGAGTGAATAGAATGGTATATCCAAAAGGACCGTGGTTGTCAAACATTTTGGTCATAGGATGCTTTTACCCACAATTAAAAAAAAGATCTTTTGCTTATAATGGGTTCTATGAAAATCTACCATATTAGAAATGAAAACAGAAAATTTAAAGACATTTACCTACTAATCTCTTAAAAAGTAATTTCTTACCGATTAACCTGAACAATATTTTTATAAGAAATAAGTATATTCTCCAAAACTAAAAATTTTTGAGAAGAGTAGCATTTTTAAAATACTTTTGCAAATTTCCTTAATGTCTGGCTGAATAGAAGCTAGATTCTGATATCTCCTTCTGTATCAACCTATTGTGTTGTCACATATCATACAGCCTCTGGAAAACAACACTGCACACGTGTGAGAGAATGACTGAAAAAGGCAGATGATGTCTTAACTACAATTATAGAAGTAGGTGTGACCTTGTGGCCTCTCTGAACAATATTTTTGAGAACTGCTGCTATAAAGCAAGTCAAAATTTAATTAATAACTTCTAAGGTTTTGGGAGGCCGAGGTGGGCAGATCACGAGGTCAGGAGACCGAGACCATTCTGGCTAACACAGTGAAACTCCGTCTCTATAAAAAAAAAAATACAAAAAATTAGCCGGGCATGGTGGCAGGCACCTGTAGTCCCAGCTACTCGGGAGGCTATGGCAGGAGAATGGCGTGAACCTGGGAGGCAGAGCTTGCAGTGAGCCGAGATGGCGCCACTGCACTCCAGCCTGGGCAACAGAGTGAGACTCCATCTCAAAAAAAAAAAACAAAAAAACAAAAAAAAAACTTTAAAGGTGCTTTTGACTCATAAACAGAATACTTTTTAAATAATACACACCACATCCCAGTATTAAATTACTTTTACATATGAAGATATTTAAATTAACATTTAATAACATTTAATAAGTAACATTTAATAAAATTTAATTAACATTTAAATATCTTCAGAAAGAAGACTATTAATGTGCACAGAGCATTTTGAAGAGTTAGTCACATCTCATCAGGATTTCGCTATGACAATAAATTTTTCTAATAACTATTCATGCTTTTTAAAAGGACTGTGAAGAATACTGATGCCAATAGTATATCATCAGTAAATTTTATGATCTAAAGGTCTTCGAGAATTTTCTAGTACAAGATGGACTATTTTGAAAATATGATGTAAACTTTGTTTAGAACATTTACAATACTGCCATGTACTTTATATGGTTAATTAATATGAGTGTTATCTTTTTGAAGACCTGCCAAGCATATTATTTCTGGGTCTATTTTAGTTTTTTTTTTTTTTTTTTTGAGACAGAGTCTCGCTCTGTTGCCCAGGCTGGAGTGCAGGGTCGTGATCTCAGCTCACGGCAAGCCCCGCCTCCTGGGTTCACACCATTCTCCTGCCTCAGCCTCCAGCTGGGACTACAGGCACCTGCCACCACATCCAGCTAATTTTTTGTATTTTTAGTAGAGACGGGGTTTCACCGTGTTAGCCAGGATGGTCTCAGTCTCCTGACCTCGTGATCTGCCCACCTCGGCCTCCCAAAGTGCTGGGATTACAGGCGTGAGCCACCGTGCCCGGCCAGCTCTTTTAAAGGTTATAATTTGATGTAGACTTTTCCTATGAATAATTATATTAAGAATCAATGTATTCTGTTTATGAAATCAGTAACAATAACAGATAGAATTTATTGAGGATTAATGGGTGTTAGGTACTATTCAGAGTGCTTTACATGTATTATCTCATTAATTCTCACAAAAATCCAATGAGGTTGTTATTATTTCCATTATAGATGAGGAAGACTGAGGCAGAGAAATTAAGTCATAAATGTTCCTATAACATAAAAATTTTGGTTCTTATAAGCCTGTCATGTCTGTCGCTCTCTCACATAATTTCTAAAATGTGTTCTTTTCAGTATCTAGAAATGATACAGCTAACTTGAGGGTTTATGTCAATAAGAGGGTACATATTTTGAAATACATTTATAGTAATCCTGGCAAAGTCAGACGAATCAAACTACTCATGCCTTTTAAAAGGACTGTGTAGAACTATTGACACTGATGGTATATCATACGTAAACTTCTAAGCTCCAAAGGTCATATGGAATTTCCTAGAGTTAGCATCTAATGAAACAAAATGTAAACTTTTGTCATGTGAGGAAACACACATTTCAGTGAGGTAGTTTACTGTGATTGGGGTTTTGAAGTCTGTAGAGGGACTAATATCCTTCTCTCATCCTAACCTCACTTTATATAAGCATTTTTCCTCTATAATTTTATGAATAGTAAGGACATTTATAAACCAAATAGTAAGATAAACTATTAAGAAATAGGAAAATCCAATAATGGCACCAGCCATGATTTAAAATCAAAAGTGAACAATGTATATTTTTTACAAATTTTAATTATTTGAGAGATATCTAAGAAATAAAGTATTTTCATATTTTAAAGAAATAAGCCACGTCATATTTTTGTTCAATTTTATAGCCAGAACAGAAATATGTGACAATTTATTCATTATATTTACTTTAGTCAATAGGAAGAGATACATGTAAAGTTATTCTCAATTCAACAGGTTAATTCTACATATTTGAAGGACATGCCGTGAATAATTTGGGATTAAATGAAATTCACAGAACAATGCTAAAAATAGTGCTATCTCTGGGTATTAAACTTGTAATTTTAATTTTCTTTTATACATATTTTTCATTTATACATATTTTCTCATACATATTTTCCATTTCTTTTTACAATGAGTATATATCACTTTTAATAATAATTTTAAAAGTTTACTTAAAAAAATCAACTTGGCAACAGTGTGGAACTCAGAGGGGGCAAAGACGCAGCAAAATGCTTGGCACACAGGAAGTGCTCAATAAATACTTCCTGAGTGAATAGCTGTAATGGCAGGGAAAGGCTGGCTACAGGAAATCAACAGGAACACCTAAGGAAGGAACAATCTGGGACTGACTATGAGAGTAAGTTCAGTTTCAGACATGTTGAGTTTCAGATGCCTGGTAGGACTACATATTTGAATAGGGAAATAATTGGATTTTAGGAAGCATCTGTATTTTCCGTTTGCAAAACATTTGGAATGAATGAGATCACAATGCTTTTGAAAAATTCTACTTAGATTATTTAAAGCTTCATGCAAAAGATGACCTTCATCAACCTCAAAATCAATTTGAATTTATTTTAGGATAAGAAAATACAATTAGAGGAATGCTCATACCAAGAATACTTTAATAAAATATTTTTATCATTAAAAGTATAAAGTTTATTAATATTTATTTTAAAAATATGTCATCAAGAATATTTTAGGCTATAGTCCAATGTTACAGTACTCTCAACTTCACAAATAGGAAAGACAGAGCTCCTGCAGAAAGGATATAGAAGATGACAAATTAAAAAGCCCAGGGTTTACTTTGGACTCTGCCTTAAATTAAAAATTTTATCTTGGGAAACTATCTAATTTCAGTCATATAAGACAAAGTAATAGATTTTTTTCTTTACACCATGATTCTGTAAAAGTAATAGATTTCTAAGAAATACTTCTGCAGGAAGAAATGTTGTACAGTGGCTTTATGGAAATAAAAATTCTACCACTTAGTTGCTTGGGAGAAAGCAAACATTTTAACTTTATTTTTTCTAAACTGATGGAAGTTTTGAAAACCAGTTTAAATCTACAGTTCACCTAGGAGAGAAATAATATTGCCCACAAAAAATACAGATAAAGAAAAAAAAGGAACATCTTTATTTTATCCAGTGGAGGGCTATACAGTATATCCCACTATCCTACTGGAGATAATTTTAAAGGAAAGGAGCCTTTACTCAGTTCCTTTAGTTAGTTTTTAAACACTTAGGTTAATAATTTCATATGGAGTCTTTATAACTATGTAGGCAAGTATTTTAATTTTAATTTACAAATATTTAGGTAGAATTTAGTCTTTAGTTGTGACTTAAATTCTGAATTTTAAATATAATTAAAAATCCTTACTTCTTTCTTGGTTCTTATGGTAGCATCTTGTACAAACCGAGAAACTGTCTCTTTCATTTTCTCTATGTCTTCTTCTTTTTGCTTCTCCTCAAGTAGAGCCTTCAGAAAATAATCATTTCATGTTATAGATAACATTATTATTAGTAAAGATAATAACAGGTGAAAACCTATCCACTAGTCACTTCCTTATTCAAAACTTCTGGGACATCTCTACTTGAATATCATGTTGAAATCACGAATGATATTTATTTTCCCTAACCTCCTCACCTGCCCTTGTCCTAACTAAAGACACTTTCTCTATGGTATTTATTTCAGCCAGTGTTTCTAACACCCTTCTAATCTCTACAGCCAGAAATCTTAAAACCATTGTTGAATTTTCCATTTTTTCAAGTCCCTATATAAAGTAAATAATCAAATCTAGGTATTGTATCCTTATAAGAATCTCTTGAATTTCTCTCTCTTTCCATTATTTAGTATTATTCAAATTATGTCACTCATTAACTCATAATTTGATCATTGCAGACACTACTTGTTTTGTCTCTTTGATGTATTTCTATAATTCCAATCATTTCCATCCTCCACCAAATAAATATTGCCATAATCCTAGCTCTGCTGTCAGTCACAGTCCATTTCCTTGCTTCTCTGAGAAGCAAAACTCTGTAACTTGTTCATCTCCAAGACTTTTCCTCTCAATCTCTTTTATACTCCCTTGAATCAGGCTTTCACCACCATGATCTCCATATTGATTATCTATAAGTAAATTTTCAGTACTTCTTTACCAGCAGCACTTGAAATATTTACTTTCCTCTCCTTGTTGTACTTTCTGCATGTGATTTTCAGCACATCACACACAGTACCGGTTTTCCTCCTATCTCACTGATCATTCCTCTTCAGTCTACATTGCTGATTCTTCCTCATCTCCTGAACCTCTTAATACTGGACTACCCAAGGTTCACTTCTTGTCCCCCTCTCTATCTGTCCTTCTCTTAGTGGTCTAATCAAATCTCACAGTTTTAAATATCATTTATATGCTGACAATCCCCATATTTACATCTCTAACACAAACCTTTTTCTGGGCTTGGAACTTCTTCAATTAGGCCAAATTGAATCCATTTTAAATCAACATGTAAATGGCCCTGTGTTCTGTTCCCACCATCTTCCAAAGGTACCATACACATTTTTACCTCTGTTTTTGTAAAAATTGTTTTTTAAGATAAAATTCCTCCACCTTAAACAAGTAAGCTAGTGAGAAGTAACAGCTGTTCTTATGTAATAACCTTGAGGGGGAGAAGGGGAACTATGCTAGGCTGTACTTCCTGCCTTGTTTGTGTGATCGGCTGGGAGAACCTTTGACTTTGAACAAGCAACTGAAGATGGGAACCCTCTAGCAATTAAGCAATGAGTCAAAGAGCAGCTTAATATTGTAACCATAGACAGCCTCTGTGAGCGTCTGTTGACTTAAGATTTGAGTGAGAAGATTTGGGAGGAGGATGGGCAATGAGTGTTCCTACTATTTTCTCTGTCCACTGTGCTCTACACAAGATGTTTATTTTTAATGGCTTGGTATAAGAGTGCTCATACAAGTAGGCTTCAGAGGGTAGAGATAAAAATTTTTTCTTGACCTTAATTTTTCCAGCTGATTTAGGTATTCGACACAATTCCCAAGCATATTATGTCTATTGTGTTCCTCTTAACCATTCTAAAAGACAGTATTCAGATCACAGATGAAAATATTAGTTGAAAGGCATGATAAACACCTTAGCATCCCCACAGTTAGGATTTAGATAATTAATTCTTTTTTTATTTATGAGCTTCTCAATATCCAACTTACACTATATTCTGTTTTAGAGCTCTCTTGAAAAATCCTCTGTAAAAAGGGAAATAAAAATAAAACAAAGCATTTCCTTTGTACCCGTATTCTGCATATACTAGGCATTCGATGAATGTTGGTAAATAAATTAATGATTTAATGAACTCTACATAAGGGAGGCCGCAAAATAAACATTAAAACATTTGTTTTGTGACTTCAATAAACTTAAATGTATCATTCATAGGGAAGCAGTATATGACAAGGAACACTGTATTTGACAGCACAGGAATCACAATTGTTAGAGAATTAAAAAAGAACAGTGACATGAAGCCTTCAGTAAATAAATCTTTAAAGCTAATTAAGCTTCCGCTTTAATAAAGTAATTGAGTATATGATGAAGGGGAATAGAGACGGGTAAGATTTATCAGATTCAACTGAATAAAATATAGGGTATACTGAAGTAAAGCACTGTTAACAGTTTTTTTTTTTTAAGTATGAGACTACAGGGGATGAAGATTAGTTACGCAGCATCTGGGAGAATAAGAAAGTCTGATATTTATACATTATTTTAGAAAAGAATTGATGTTTTATCATATGATGATATCTGGTTTTACCATCCAAGAATATGGATGATTACTAATGAAAAGAGTAGCAATTTCATTTTCATGCATTTATTCAACAGCTATTGAATCCCTTACTGTGAGGTCACATGGGAGAATAGTCAACATTTTATTATATCTAAACATATTTACTAGCTTTCTTACCTGACTTTTTTGAAGGTTAGCTTCTTCTAAGAGTTGCATGCTATTTCTGGCTCTTACAATAGCCTCATATCTCTCATTTTCTAATTCATTGCACTTTGCTTGTAGCTCTCTGGTCTGTTTTTCCAGATGTGTATTTTCGGTTCTTAATTGGTTGGCTTCTTGGATTGTCACACATAATCTAGAAATCAATAATTACACTGGGAAAGTTAAACTTTTTTAAAGGGAAGGAGGGAGATTTACTGAGCATCTACTACAGGACAGGTATTATGCCAGTAACTTTCACATGTATTAATATTTTCTCATTTGATACTCATTACCCTTCTATAAAGTAGGTTTTACTATCTCCATACCTTCATTTTAAAGAACAACAAACATACCCAGAGAGGTTAGGCATTTGATTAAGATCATAGCGCTAATGAGCAGTGGGGCTGAGACTAAGCCTGGATTTTCTGATCCTAATTATGTTATACTTGTTATGGTATCACACTGTATTATATAGTTACATGACAATGATATAAAGCAAACCCTTAAGAAATGAGTTGTTCTTTACATTTATATGGTCTTTTCTCTTTTCTCTCCTTTCATACTCTCTACCCAGACAAGCTATGTTAACTTACTAATGTATATCTTAAAATAATTTTCTCAATATTCATATGATCATATGTACATATATATATATACTCATACACATATACACATAAATATACACACATATTATACATACAGGTAATGACAGGAGCTTTTTAAACTTTTGTTATAACAATAAAAATCATAGTATACACCCTTTTCTGTACTTGCTTTTCTCATCCAATAATATAGAAATCTCATCAAGTTAGAAAGGCTCCTTCCTTTCCTAGTCTAATGAATGTAACCTCATTTCACTGTTAATCTGTATTTCTCTATTAGAAAGTTTAGGCATATTTTCCTCCTTTTGTAAGCCATATGGATTTTGTTCTTTGAATTTCTTCTAATCTTCTTTGCATATTTTTTTCCGATGGGTTGTTTACTTTGCTCTTCCCTTTATAAGAACTCTAAATTAGGCCGGGCGCGGTGGCTCACGCCTGTAATCCCAGCACTTTGGGAGGCCGAGGCGGGTGGATCATGAGGTCAGGAGATCGAGACCATCCTGGCTAACAAGGTGAAACCCCGTCTCTACTAAAAATACAAAAAATTAGCCGGGCTCGGTGGCGGGCGCCTGTAGTCCCAGCTACTCGGGAGGCTGAGGCAGGAGAATGGCGTGAACCCGGGAAGCGGAGCTTGCAGTGAGCAGAGATTGCGCCACTGCAGTCCGCAGTCCGGCCTGGGCGACAGAGCGAGACTCCGTCTCAAAAAAAAAAAAAAAAAAAAAAGAACTCTAAATTATAAATATTAACCCTTAGTCTGTCCTTTATGCTGCAAATTTTTTTTTTTCCAAATCTACTTTTTTGTTGTTGTTGCCTATTGACTCTATTTAGGGAATCTTCGCCACACTAAAAATTTAATACAGCTAAATTTGACTATTTTTTTTCAACTTTTGCGATTTCAGTTTTTATAAAGATGGTCTCCTTCATCCATAGATTGTCAGTGTAATCTCTTAGATTTCCTCCAAATATTTCCATGACTTTAATTTTTACCCCTAAATTTTTAATCCTGACTCATTTGAATTTACTCCTGAATATGATGTAAGAGAAGAGTCCAATTTAAGTTCCAGACTAATGGCCAGTTGTATGAATACCATTAGTAACTAATGAATTTAAATACTCCTATTATCACCCCCAAAATATGCAAATATCATATATGCAAATATCATAATTTACTAGTAGAGTATGTTGCATTGATCTACTTATTTATTACATGCTCAACTCATTTTAATTTGATTATTGTGGCTTTATAACATGTTTGGTAAGATATATTTTATAATTTTCTTTGTTATTTGTTATTTTCAGACATTTCTTTTTTTTTAAATAGTAGAAGCAGCAGCCTTCTCTATTCTCCCCACTAACCACATCAAAACCCTCTTCCTGTCAGTCAAGTGGTTTATTTTCTCATGTGTTTGGTAATTTTTGATTAAGTTCTTATCTGTCTAAACTTAATCTGTAGGAATCCTGAGGGGTCTGTGTTCAAAAGTATTTCCCCCAAAGGTTTACTGTTGCTTCTTCCATGCACCAGGACTCCCTACCAATCTGTTGCCACTTTAGTGTTTGGGGCTGAGGTTTCCAAATCAACAAATAGTATAATATTAAACAACAGGCTCATATGAGGGCAGAGTTATGGTTACACATTCTCAGAGAAGACTGCAATGATTGTTATGATTTCTACTTTCCATTTGGCTACATGGTGGAAATAGTTTTATTTGTTGGCTATCGTTGTTAAGAGGCAGGATTTTTTTCTATTTTAGTCTTTTAATGAGAGTGTAGTTCCTTCAGGGGTTCCAGCCTGCCTAAGGACATTTACCTTCTTGCAATATTATACAGATCCAGCCCTGACCTCCTTGGCAGGGAAGTCATTTATTTATCATTCTTGTTTTAGCTTCCTGTTTTTGTTTTTGTTTGTACACTTGAGAATACCCAACTATATAAGTTGAGCATTTAAATGTAATTAAACAGTTCATGCTATAAAGTTTTTATGCTATTAGCATTCTAACATGTAAGTTAAAGAAACAACTTTGAAAACAAATCATGTTGTAATTGATCAAGATGCTTACATTAAGAGGGTTTTTTTCAGAATATTTAGTCTGACATATTATGTGAATGGAATAGTCTGCACAATCATTATTAATCATTACTTTGTTTTCCTCCATTTCTAACCTGTGTTACAGAATTGTTGGTCCACTCAAATATCTGCCTCAAATCTTAAGAACAGACGTTAATTGTATATTATGTCTACTGTATCTGGCTTTTGTTCTTCCTTTATACTGATAATATTAGACTTTACCTGAGCCAAGAAAACAGGGATGGCTAAGAAATCCTCCCACCTTTTTTCTCTAAACCCCCTCTATCATTTTGTGTTTCAGAATAGAGCTAACAGCATAAAACAACCCTGCTCTCGCATATTCCAACATAAGACCCACCTCCATCCCTTCTCATGACTCCCCTAAGACTCATACACAACTTGTTTATCCACCTATGTAAAACCTCAGACCCCTTCCTTTTCTTTGAAACATTCCTCATTAATGAGCATTCTCCCTACTGCAATAGCCTGAATAAAATAATCTTCTGAATTATCTGGTACATTTGGTCTTTCACAGTACTAAAGACTCACCCAACTAATCTTGAAGAAAAACAATTGTATCTAAATTCTGTTTTTCAATCACTTTCATATTACTTTTCTCAAGCTCTCATATACATATATCCTATGGTAACTTAGCTTTTAAAATGTCTTCAGTCTAGGAAGTGAATATTTGCTGAAGAAAGGCGAAAAAAATGATTTGGATTCTGATTAAGTAATGAATGATATATAAATCTGGGTGCATTCTTTAGTAAATATGGGTGAAATCTCAAATATCAATTCAGGTGGATAGTGGCAGCCAACCAAGAGTCAATTATATTATTGAATAATTTTCTTTCCCTAACAATTTAAGCATATGAGTAATGAAGGTCAGAAGGTAGTGGGGGTGATGATACAAGTAAGTGATGCCTTTCAGTCAGACTTCATTTAAGTTTTTACTTATTTTTTAAAAACCCTATTTTTAATAGTAGTATCCATTGGTGAATTTTCCCTACTGATGATAATCCTTTGTATTTGTTTAAATAGGTATAAATGTTGTTTAAGGACTTTTCTCTGTCATCTACGGAGATAATCAGATATCACCAGATACTGGCCACTCCTAGAATTCCAGAACCTAAAACACTGGCTGGTACAACAGTAGGTGCTCAGCACACATTGAAAACATGATGCTTCACCTGTGAATACGAAAGTCCCTCTTAGGAGGGAGTCTTACAGACTTTTCTTCTAACAATGTATGGAAAATCATACCTAGTCATACTGGGGCATATCTCAACTATCTCTTAGACCTTTTTCTACTACTCCTGTTCAATAGGCATAAAAATAGAAGTTTCAAGTATGCTGCATATGTCTCCTTTATACTGCCCAAAATTACCACAAACAAACATACAAAAATTATTAAAACTTCATTTCACTTCTTTTCTTCTCAAATCTAATTATTATTGATTCCTTCAAGGACCATACTTGTTTTCCTCTACCTATATTAGTTATTCTAAATATTAGTACACAAAAGGCATTGTTAATGTGGGAGGGGCAGGCATATATTTATTGTCACTTTTATTATAGTCATTGTGTCAAATGAAAAGATTTTATTAAACAGATAAATTATTCATTTATAGCAAAATAAAATCATCAAAGCACTTGGAAAATGTCATCTTTTCAAGATGACTTTTAGCATCTGGTTAAAAATTACTTCTCAGCTTTAGAAAAAGACAAATATATATTCTCCCTACCTAAAATAAAGTCCACAATCTAATATGAAGTCATGTGGCTCAACTTGTACAAAGAAAAAAGATTTTTAAAAAAGTACTGCATGGACCATTCTGATATACCAGTGTCCCATACTCAACAGTTTGCAACTATGATGGTATTGGCATTTGAAATGTGTAGGGACATTTGGTAGTTACAATGCTAAGAGATGCGACTAGAATTTAGTATTTGGTGCCAGGGATGCTAAACATCCTGTAGTTATTGGCACAGTCTCAAACAACTAAGAATTGTCTCACTCAAAAAGCCAATACTCCTGTTGAAAAACATGACACCAACTGATGATGGCTATCAGGGCAGAGATAAGTGATGGGTAAAGGTATCCGAAGGGCCATTGCAAATTAGAATTCCCAAGAACACAAGGGAGAACAGTACTGGGGAGCAGGATGCACTAGCACCTTGCCTTCTGGAGGACCAAAAGAATTGATGATCAAGCTTCAGCTTGCAAGATTTTTCTGACATATTACGCCCAAGATGCAAAAAGAATCTACATTTAGCTCTTGAAGCTAATCCTTTTTGTAGGATTTATGGTTCATGATTCCTAAAAAATAGTTTTTAAAAATAACATTCCTCTCCTTTCTTTGCCTTCCATTTTGATGGTTTATTTCTACTGTAACTGTATTATTTGCAGAAGTACAGAATTATAGAGGGGTTGAGGTAATATCAAATTTCCTCTTAACTATGATTTTAAAATTTTAACCACTCTTTAGAAGAAAGAAAGATTTTAGGTTACTGAGGGTCAACTATGTTCACACCAAACTCTGCAGGATGACCTGAGGAGAAATGAAAATAAAGGTGTGCTTTGTGCTCTGCAGTACTGATACAAAAGCATGATATCAAGGGTTTTATTTGTTTCCTAAAAAGTACTGGACTAAATTTGGTACAATTATTCTCATTCAAAATTAAATTAATGTACTTAGTAAAGGTTCTAAAATCATATTAAACAAATTATCTTTGAATATATATTCAAAGTATAGCAATCTGTTGAATATAGTTTTTAATAAACAATGTCGATTAAATCAGATTTTACACCTATGATTATAGTTTTGATTTGGAGTTTATAAAATATTTATTCTAGTAAATATCACACACTGAAACTCTATTGTAAAATATCTTTTAAAGCATATCAACAAAGCTAGGTGCATTTAACAATTTACCTTATTTCTAATTGTTTTATACTAGACTGTAACTGCTGTAAACGCCTATCTGATGCTTCCTCTCTTCCATGGGCAGACACCACATCCTTCTCCTAGAAAATAAAGAAACTAGAAGCTTACTTTGAGTATGTGAAAATTCAATACACCATTATACAGCATAAAGAAAACAGCTCATGCTATAAAGTTATTATGCTATTAGCATTCTAACACTTACGTTAAAAGAAACAATATGACTTTGGAAACAAATCATGTGTATAATAAAAAGGAGGGGAGAACTTCATCATCAATCCTGTGTTAATAAAAAATACTCCAAACAGTTATTGCACATAGATTTCTACCAATATTTCAAACTATTTCTATAGTACAAGTCTAACAAAACGAGAGGGATTTCTATGCAGATAATGTGCCTTTAGAATATGCTCTCTTAACTATATTATTCTATGTCTCATTAACTATCAAGGTAATCACAGGGTCTTTCTTCTTTGACATAGTGATGATTTGACCTATATTAATAAATTTTATTTGTATCAACTTTCTAAGGAAATTTCTTGTTCATCTTTTCTTGCTTCATGTGTTAACAAATATTTTTTATGATGCCATAACTTTTTTTTTTTTTTTTTTTTGAGACAGAATCTCACCCTGTCGTCCAGGCTGCAGTGCGGTGGTACGATCTTGGCTCACTGCAACCTCTGCTGCCCAGGTTCAAGTGATTCTCCTGGCTCAGCCTCCCGAGTAGCTGGGATTACAGGCACCTGCTACTGTGCTCAGCAAATTTTTTTATTTTTAGTAGAGACAGGGTTTCACCACATTGGCCAGGCTGGTCTTGAACTCCTGACCTCGTGATCCACCCACCTCGGCCTCCCAAAGTGCTGGGATTACAGGCGTGAGCCACCGTGCTTGGCCAAATTTTTTTTTTTTTTTTTTTTTAGAGTCTTGTTATGTTACCTAGGCTGCACTCAAACTCCTTGGATCAAGTGATCCTCCTGTCTCAGCCTCTCGAGTAGCTGGGACTATAGATGCACACCACCATGCCCAGCCTAAGAATGTCATTTTAATTCCTCTATTGCTTTTAGCTATATCTGTTTGAACTATTTTTTAGTGGTTGCTGTAGAGATTACAATATGCATCTTGAACTTACCCAATTTATTCAGAGTTAATATTTAGATAATAGTTCAGAGAAAACACTGAAACCTTGCAACAGCATATATCCATGTACGATCCCAGTCCTGAGTGCCATTGTTGTCATATATTACATCTGCACACTTTACAAACCCATCAAATACGGTGTTATTAGTTCTGCTATAAGCAGCCATCTTTTAAAGATATTAAGAGAAAAGTATGTACACATGTTATTTCATATTTGCCATTTCTGTTGCTTTTAGTTTCTTCTTGTATCTGAGTTGTCATTTGGTGTCATTTCCATTTAGCCTAAAGAACTTCCTTCAGAATTTTTTGAATGCAGGTCTGCTGGGGACAAACTCTCTCATTTTTGGTTTATTTGAAAATGCCTGTATTTTGCCTTCATTTTTGAAGTATAACTTCACTGAATATAGAATTCTTAGTATTTTTTTTCTTCAGCATTTGAAATATATTATTCTAATACTTTGTTTCCACAGGTTTTTTTTTTTCCTCCCTTCCAGCCTTTATTTTTGATTCAGGGGGTACATGGGCAGGTTTGCTACATGGGTAAATTGTGTATCGGGGGTTTGGTATACCGATTATTTTGCCACCTAGGTAATGAGCATAGTACCTGATAGGTAGTTTTTCAGTACTCACCCTCCTCCCATCCCCTACCCTCCAGTAGGGCCAGTGTATATCGTTCCCTTTAGCGTCCATTTGTACTCAATGATTAGCTCCCACTTGTAAGTGAGGACATGCGGTATTTGGTTTTCCGTTCCTGAGTTAATTTGCTTAGGATAATGGCCTCCAACTGCATCCATATTGCTGCAAAGGACATGATTTCATTCTTTTTATGGCTGTGTAGTATTCCATGGTGTACACGTACCACATTTTCTTTATCCAGTCTGCTGCTGATGGGCATCTAGGCTGATCCTATCTCCTTGTTATTGTGAATAGTGCTGTGATGAACATACATGGACATGTGTCTTGATAGTAGAATGATTTATACTACTTCGTTATATACCCAGTAATGGGATTGCTCAGTTGAATGGCACTTCTGTTTTGAGTTCTTTGAGAAATCTCCAAACCTCTTTCCACAGTGGCTGAACTAGTTTCCATTCCCACCAGCAGTGGATAAACATTCCCTTTTCTCAGCAATATTGCCGGCATCTGTAATTTTTTGACTTTGTAATGATAGCCATTCTGACAGGTGTGAGATGGTATCTCATTGCGATTTTGATTTGCATTTTTCTAACTCATAGTGTTGAGCATTTTTTCATTTGCTTGTTGGCCACATGTATATCTTCTTTTGAAAAGTGTCTGTTTATGTCCGCTGCCTACTTTTTAATGTTTTTTTTTCTCTTGTAAATTTGTTTAAGTTCTTTATTGATGCTGGATATTACACCTTTGTCAGATGCACAGTTTGCAAATATTTTTTCCCATTCTGTAGGTCGTCTGTTTACTCTGTTGATAGTTTCCTTTGGTATGCAGAAGCTCTTTAGTTTAATTAGGTCCCACTTGTCAATTTTTGCTTTTTGTTGGAATTGCTTTTGGAGTCTTTGACATAAAATCTTTGCCAGGGCCTATGTCCAGAAGTGTTTCCACAGTTTCTTGATGAGAACTTAGCCATTAATCTTATCATTGCCTCTCTGTTCAGGTCATTTTTCTATTGCTACTTTCAGGTATTCTCTTCATAATTGGCTGTCAGTATCATTGTGATGTATCTCAAAGTGATTTTGTTTACTCATTGAGATTCTTAAATTTTAATGTTTTCCACCAAATTTAGGAAGTTTTCAGCCATTATTTCTTTAATTTTTTTCTGCTCCCATCCCCCTCCCTTTGGCAGTTCCAATTACACTTATGTTGCATTGCTTCACATTGTTCTACAGATTTCTGAGCTCTTGTTCATTTTTCTTCAATCTTTTAAACTCTCTGTTCTTTGGACAGGGAAATTTCTATTGATCTGACTTCAAGTTCATTGATTATTTCTTCTGTCTTTCCCAATCTATTTTTGAGTCCATCTAGTGAAATTTTTATTTCAGTTGCTGAACTTTAAAGCTCTAGAGTTTCTTTTTTAAAAATTGTGTTCCAGTTCTCAATTAAAATTATCTATCTCTTCCTAGAGACTTTAATTTAAAAACAGATTTTAATTCCTTGAACATATATATAATAGCTGACTTGAAGTCTCTGTCTGCTAAATCTAACAGATCGATCCATTTAAAGTCAGTTTCTAATGGCTTCCTCCCTCAGCACCTCCCCCACAAGTATAGGTCATACTTTTCTGTCTAGTAATTTTTGAAAACTCAATAGTGTAGATAATACATTGCAGTTACTCTGTTTCGTTCTTTTGAGCATTAAATTTTTATTTTTATTTTTTTAGTTCAAGTAGACAATTATCTTGCTTGGTCTTGAAATTTGAAATCTGTTCCACATACAGTAGGTAGCAGCTGATATCTGTAATTAGTTCTTACTGCTTTCCACTGTTGCTTTTATAACTAGGCTCTGTGCCTACATAATTTGAAGATCAGTCAAGATTTGGGCAGAGTTAGGGCTCATCATCTTTGTGGTTCCCTCGCTTCTACAGATTCCCCTGTAATATCCAGCTGCCTTTCCAGCTTTGGGCTTTGTCCTCTGATACTTCAAACAATAAGGAAGTCTTCAGTATGCTGATGCTTCAATTGCACACATTTCTCGCATGTATTCAATTATAAAAAGTAGCAAACTCAAATATCTAGTTCCATACATCTCTATCTTTCAAAAGTAAATTTCTCTTAGGTCTCTGCCTGCTTCTTCACTGGCCTCTCTGGGGTCCCTCCCCCACTTCCATATGCATAATTTAGTTGTCAGGCATGAATTTGGTAAGAATTTACACTCAGAATTTGGCTCTCACTTTTTCTGTGTGTTTCTCTTGCTGCCAGTATTTCTTCTTTAAATTTCCTATTGCTGGCCGGGCGCGGTGGCTCACACCTGTAATCCCAGCACTTTGGGAGGCTGAGGCAGGCAGATCACAAGGTCAGGAAACTGAGATCATCCTGGCTAACACGGTGAAACCCTGTCTCTACCAAAAATACAAAAAATTAGCCAGGCGTGGCGGCGTGCACCTGTAGTCCCAGCTACTTGGGAGGCTGAGGCAGGAGGACGGCATGAACCCGGGAGGCAGAGCTGACAGTGAGCCGAGATCAAGCCACTGCACTCCAGCCTGGGTGACACAGCGAGACTCTGACTCAAAAATAAAATAAAATAAAATAAAATAAATTTCCTACTGCTTTTCTAGCCCTAAACTTTGACCTGGGTACCTTAAGCCCATACAAAGGTGTTTTCTGAAGCCACAGCTGTGGGGGTTGGGAGAACCATCAGGCCAGACATCCAAAATTTAACAATTCTTATTTCTTTTACTTCTTTCTGTTTTGGGTGCTTTCTGGTGTTTTAAAAATTTATCCAAGTTTTAAAATTGTTACCTATGGGAGGGTTCTTGTAACACTTAGAAAATCTACCATTATTAGAAATCTATAATCAACTTTTTACAGATTGGAAATAAGGCTTAGAAAGTTACATAGCTAATAAGTCCCAGAGTGAGAATTTTCAATAATTATATCTATCTAAAACTAAAGCCTGACTTTTCCTTGACATCCTTCTGAAATTTCTCTATTACATATTAAAAAGAACCAGAGTCTATTGTGTCAATAAATACTTTAGTAAATAACATAAAAGTAGTATTAAATGCTTGTTTTCCACCTGCAAATAACCAGTTAACTGAAACTTGATCTTGTATCAATTTGCGTTTCAGTAATGATGTGCTTAGGTGTGATTATGACGTTCTATTGAATTAGGCTATAGAGAATGGAAATAAAAAATTCTTTATAAAGTTGTTTTCAATAATATAGTTTAGCTTCCTACTTTCATATTTTAAGGGTATTAAAATAATTAATTCATCTTCTGACAACCCTCTTTAACACCTAATCCAAAATAAATCAACAAAATAGAAAGAAAACTAAGCAATAGGTACCCATTTGTCTTAGAAATAGAAAATACCTTCTTTTTCATCTGTCCCTGCAGATCTTCAGTCACATTAGTTAACTCTTCCACTTTTGCTACAGCAACTCTCAGCTCTAATTTGGCTTGCCTAAAAAATAAAGTAAATTAATAAACACTGTTTTCATAGACCACTAAGAATAAAAAATTAGAATAGAAATCTGAATTTGGTAAAATCAGTTCTAACTCTTGTTTATCTAAAATGGATCCATGGAATAAATTTTGGAAGATTCCTTTATTACTAATGAAGTGCATGTAGAAGATATTAAAGAGGAAAAAATATAGCTGAATGGCGAAGGGTATGAAGTAGAGGTCATGAATGCTGTACTTGGGTAAATTATATTATATACCAAAGTGATTCAATAAGTTTCTTGAAAAAGCACTTTATCATCTTGATACATTACCTAACAAGAGCTCCAGTGCACTAAGAAGAATATACTTATGTCTATAATATCTTTATAGATGGAGATGGAGATATACTGCTGATTGGACTTTCTATGAAAATGAACTTAAACTTCAATACCTTGATCATTCCATAGACACCAGAAGTTTGTATTATGTAAACACAACATAAATTAAAACATTTGTTCCACCATAATACAATGTTTATTTTCTTCAGAGACTGTATTGGCAACAAATGAAAAAGATAAATTTTTTTGAACATTCTAACAGAATTAAATAAGTTTCAATATCTTCTTAACTCCTCATAGGAAATGATTTTAGAACAATAATATGACTTTCTTAAACAGAAAAAATGATTTTTAATATCATCATAATTAAGCATTAAGTGAGTATAAAACCCTTTGATTATCTAAAGAACATACATTTTCAAGAAAAAAATACTGTAGTGTAGGAACTGTTCCCTATTTCTTAATTACATTTTATGTATGTATCTAAATGTAAATCATATTTGTGCTATAGAACTTACAGAAATTATTTGATGCAAAATTCACAAGTAAATGTTAGTTCATTTCCTTTTGACTCTTTGTCTTTAAAACTGCATTACTTATATAGTTATAAATTTCCTACAATAGAAAATACAAATCTAATAATAGCTGATAATATCTCAGGTAGTTATTAGTGCCAGGGACTGTTGTAAATGCTTTGCAGTCATCTCACTTGACACTCGATAATAACTGTGAATTAATACTACTATTATATCAAACTGAAGTAGAGGAGAGCAAGGTTGATAGAGGTTTACTAATATGCCCTAGGATTCACAATACGTAATAAAACTAGTATTTAATGAGTCCCCTATGACAGACTGCCTACCCTCACATGGTCCTAATAATATTTTATATGATGAGGCATTTAAGAAAATGTTTTGCTTTAAATTAACCAAGATTATAAAAAAAATCAAACAGGCCAGGTGCGGTGGCTCATGCCTGTAATCCCAGCACTTTGGGAGGCCGAGGTGGGAGGATCACAAGGTCAAGAGATTGAGCCCATCCTGACCAACATAGTGAAGCCCCATCTCTACTAAAAATACAAAAATTAGGTGGGTGTGATGGCACGCGTGCCTGTAGTCCCAGCTACTTGGGAGGCTGAGGCAGGAGAATCGCTTGAACCTGGGAGGCAGAGGTTGCAGTGAGCCGAGATCGTGCCACTGCACTCCAGCCAGGTGACAGAGCAAGACTCCATCTCAAAGAAAAAAAAAAAATCAAACAAAAATAGGTTTTTTTCATTTGCAAAATGATTCCCTAAGGACAAAATAAAAACCACATTATTCATGTAAAATCTCTGCGTCAGGCTGAGAGATAATTTCAGGAGTATATCTACAATCTAAATCAACAAATGATTCTACCAGTTATAAAATCCTATATATTTTTAAAGGAAAAACTTAAGGAATAATATATTTAAGTAGTAAGGATAAAACTGAGAAAACTCTGAAAAAGCATAGCAACCACACTGATTTGGTTTTCTTACCTTCAGAAAGGATAAAATAATTGCTTGTTCTACTTGTTTCATGGGATTGCTGAACAAGTAAAAATAGATAATGTATATTAGAGTGTCCTGTAAACTGTAAGCAAGATAAGGTCATAGCATGATCAAGGAAAAAAAAAAAAAAACCTGTTGGAGACACAGGAAGCAAGGTACAATGTGGAGAACACTACAGGCAGGGACCCAATTCTGTCACTAACTAGTAATATGTCTTAATACAATTCACTTGACCATGCTGCACGTCTCAAAGACCTCATGTCCAAAAACAGAGGTGGATTAGGCAATTTGCCAAGACCAAAATTCTAGAATTAGATTCTTTCCTTATTTCAATCTAATTGGCCTGAGTCTATTTCTAAGTTGTCTTTCAATTGTGTATTCCTTTTTCATTCTTTGGCCCAACCTTTAGCTTCATTATCACTCATAAGACTATTCCAGTAGATTCCAAACTCATCTCTTCACTGATGGTCTCCTCTTTTGTTCATTCTTTATAATGTATCTTATCTGTTAAAAAAATTATCTAGTAATAAAAACTCCTATTTAACAATGATTCCTGGATTCCACACTTTTTGGCATAAAGTCTACACTCCTCTACATATAAGTCTACACTCCTCTACTGGCATATAAGGCCAGTCAACATCTAGCCTCAAAGAGTCTCATCTCTTGCCAATTACCCCCATGTAATTTATATTCCAAGTATAATAAAGTACTCACTCGCTGTTTTCTAAACACATCCTTGTTTCTTTTTTCACATGTTTGGCTGGACTAGTCTTCTTCTTTTTCTAACCAATTCCTTAATTTTGACCTAGATCAAAAATCTCCCCATCTTCAAGTCTTCACTAACTTCTCCTTGGCAAAAACCCTATATCTCAATACTTATAATATATAATACTTTATACATTATTAATTGAACACACTGTATTGTAATCAATACTATAGAGATTCTCCTTTGTGGAACTGTGAGTTCATAAAAAATATACAATGTAAGATAATTAAAAGCAAGGATCACATCTTATTAATTTTTAAACCTTCAGGAGATAGCATAGTACCTGGGGCATAGGAGACAAGTAAATCAATCATAAATGAATGAGAGGGCAAAAGGAAAAGGTGGGGGGAGGGAGAGGGGAGGGGAAGGAGTAGTGGGAGGGAGGAGAGGGAGAGGGAGGGAGAGAGGGAGAGGGAAAGAGAGGGAGAGAGAAAGAGAGGGAGAGAGAGAAAGAGAGAGAGAATGTTACAGTACAACTATATCTTGATATTTTACCTAGATCTTGCACACCCAATTTAATATTCATGTGTGAAAAATTCTAGAAAAATAATTTTATGAACAATTATTCCAAATATATATTATCTCATATTCCTTTGAAATGAAATCTCCTGCTACATAAGTAAAAAGAAAAAAAATAGGCACTGGACTTAGACCTAATTTGGAAGTCATTATAAAAAAAATTCTGAAAACATTCATATTATATTATGTTCACTAAACCACAAATACTATTTTTTTGGGGGGAAATAAGTAGTGGTTTTAAATATATTTGTTTATTCCCACACTGTTCCATAGAACAGTTAGAAAGTAAGTAAATAGTTCTTTATATCTACTTTTGGCAGGAAGTGTTGAAAAAAAATCTAAAATAAAAGGCAGAAGGCCTGTCTTCTAGAACTGACTCTACCAACACAAAAGGTATGTGAACTGGGCCAATCACTTAACCTCTCTGAGTCTTAGTATCTATAAAATGGAGATAAAAATAATTTTCCCATATAGCTCACAGAATTATAAAGTTCAAATAAGTTAATACATATTAAAGCATTTAATAAATTTTACTGTAGTTTATACAATGCAGCTACCATCATCATTTTGCCTTTTATTAGATTAAATTGTCAGGAACTGTGTAGTAAAGTATTAATTTACAGCTGGACTGGGAAAGCTCTGGGGATGCCTGAATATCTAGCCTTGACTCTTAGCCAGTATACGAACAGTGGGATTTATGATGTGCTGTTTAAAGTATGAATCTCTTCCTGCAGCCTGCAAGTTGATTTGTTTACTGATAATTTTCACCAGGCATAACTAGATAGCCAGGCTAGGCTATGTGATCAGTGTGCCAGAAAAAATGACCCTGATGGGAACTCCTGCCTGGAGCTCTCCTGAAGCCAAGATTCATTGCACAGATCTTGGTGGCTCAATGTGGAGACAAAGCATGTCTGTATATAAATAAAGGCCCTAGGGTGCCTATCCTGAATGTGTTCTGGACGCTAGATGCTTGCCTATGTTCTTTTTCTGGCTGCACAATATCCTTTGGCCTTTAAATAAAAGCCTTCTGTAAGTATGCTCTGTGCAGTCTTGTGAGTTCTTTTAAATATTCAAGCTTTTAAAATTTTTGAAGGAACTAACAAAAATAATTCTAATATTATTTTATGAAGAAACTCAATAATTATGTTTATACTATTTACATGCAAATGTTTTAGATATATGTCTGCCTGTGTATGTAATTTTATAAAAGTCAAGAACAGTTTAACAAAAAAATTTTGATTTAAAAAAACACAACTAGTTAACTATTAACAATCTTGATGTCATAACTACCAAAGGATTTTATTTTTGCTTCAAATTAATATTCTAAAAAGTACATTACTTTATTTTCAGGTATGCTTGTTAATCCACTTTATATTCCTGGGATTTTTCATTAATGTATTACTTCATTTCTTATGATATTAAACAGATTTGAATGACAACTTTTTTTTTTTTTTTTGAGATGGAGTCTCGCTCTGTTGCCCAGGCTGGAGTGCAGTGGTACGATCTTGGCTCACTGCAAGCTCCGCCTCCTGGGTTCACGCCATTCTCTTGCCTCAGCCTCCTGAGTAGCTGGGACTACAGGCGCCCACCACCACGCCTGGCTAATTTTTTGTATTTTTCAGTAGAGACGGGGTTTCACCGTGTTAGCCAGGACGGTCTCGATCTGCTGACCTCATGGTCCGCCTGCCTCGGCCTCGCAGACTGCTGGGATTACAGGCATGAGCCACCACACCCGGCCAACAACTTTTTAAAAATAAAACTTTGTTAAGCAAAATTTAATCAAGTATAACATAAAGGATAGGATATAATACTAGATTTAAATTATACCATCAATTTGGACAGAAATTAAAATGCTTTAATTATCAATACACTTTTTTGAGACTTAACATCAAGTACAATGAGTCTATTTTAAGACAAATTTTTATGTTTCTTCCTGCACTGTCATACAAAGAGAATCCTAGAAATGTTTATGCCTTTTTTGCATACAGTGAAAAATGGTAAGATTCTCAGATATAAAAGCTAGTTTTTGCTGATTTGATATTCTTAATTTTTTCCTCTTTAAAATAAAAAAATGCACACGTTAGGTAATTTAATAAGGACTTTTGTAATTACCCAGTATAATAAAGCCAATCATTTACACTTAAAAACTTTAGAAAATCCTGAAACATAATTTTAGACAAAGTTCTAAACTTTTAAAATCACTACTGCTTTTAGGAAACTGAGTAAGTACCAAAACTGGATAAAGTTTTATTTCAAATTTTTTCCTCTTCCCAATCTTTACTGGCAGTCTAATAATGAAACCTATTCAAGACAGAAGGGTTCCAAAGAAATTCTAAAAGCAGTGGATATTATAATCCATACGCTGAGCTATCAAAACTTTCCAAAACAGTGGCTCTTCAGTTTTTAAATACGTTATTTGTATATTATTTATACACACTTGAAGTTAATTCAAAATTATACATAGTTTCAGGTAATTCAAAATTCTAATTTCTATGTTAGATACAATATTCTATGATACTAGTAGTAGTGTCCATACTTTGTGTGTACGAAAGTGAGCTTTTTGCAACTAATATGGATAGGCTTTTTCACATCATATATGGATAGGCTCAATCTGAGACTTACTCATTCAGGACGTCTGCAAGCAGTACTTGGTCATCTCTGTTTTTCAGAGTCTCTACAGGGGATTCTGATGTATATTCACTGTCTTAAATTTTACAAAATACCTACAAGATTGACAATTTACTCTTTTGTAAACGATGATTACAAGTCTAGTCTTAGAGTCATGTAACTTTGGGTAACACTGACAAGGTGCAGAAAATATTAATTCATAATCTATTATTGATCAGACTATTCAAATCTCTTATGCAACAGACATGCTTAAAACATGTTTACTTCATGCCTGCAATGTTTGAGGTGCTGCAATAATGTGGTACAAAACACACAAAGGATTTTTCTCCTTCATAGATGATCATATCTACCTTACCCAATTTAAACTTTCAGCTCAATGTAATTATAGCGCTATAGTAATCTTGAGGAGGGCCACAAAGCAAGCATATGTTAAGCAACAAAAAAATTAAAATAAAACATTATGATTCTGAGTATGCAGCACATTTACATTTAGCTGGGAGAATATTGAAGTGAGAGGTATTTAAAGCAAGAATTGGCAGAGGAATTATATATCTCACAAGAAGAGACAGAGAAAGCTTTAGGAAGAAACAAGATAAGCACAAGCATAAAGGTAGGTAAGTGTAGGGCTTATTTAGGGAAGATGAGAAATAAGACTGTAAAGGCCATGGGGACTACAATGTCAATGACCTTAATTGACAGTTAAGTTATCTGTATCAATTTAAAGGCAAATGGGAAACTGTACCAATAATGGTATCGGAGCTCAGAGCTGCACTTTAGAAATTTAAACCTGACATTTGTGAAAAAGAATAGACTAGAATGATAGTTCTGTCTCTCTCTGTAACCAATATGTTATAATAAATGAGCAAGAGGGAGGAAAAGTCTAAACCAGAGTGATGACAACAATTCTGAGAGAGATGGTGTAGATTTTACAAACAGAATTTAAGGGATTCTATGCATTCATTCTTTGAACAAATATTTATTGAATGCTTATAACATGCCCGACACTGTGAATATAATTTGGACATGTTGAGCCTTAAGTGCTGGTGGCTCATCAGTTTTTTGTTTGTTTTATCTCTATTTCAGGAGTCCTAGAGTTATTTTACTGAGCACCTACATGTACTATACCAAGTACTGTCTATTGAGCACCTACATGCACCATACGAAGCACTGTCTTCAGCACTGGTGATGCAGTGGTAAACAAGGAAGACAAAGCCCCTGTCTCATAAAGTTCATATTGTAATGGAGGGAGACAGGCAACAAGTATTTCAATAAATCAGGTAATTAAAGAAAGTGACAATGTTACAAAGAAGATGATACAGGGAAATAGGAAAGACATGGGTCATCAGGCACATCTATGGTAGAAATATCTGAGCTACGACCTAAAGGATGATGAGGCAAACTGAAGAAAACTTAGGGTAGGAGAATTACAGGTGAAGATAATTAAGAATAAATGAAAGAATATGAGAAAGACAAAGAAATGACAATTAAGACGGAACGTATCACAGAGAAAAAAGTGTAAGATAAAGTCAGAGAGGAAGGTAGAGGTCAGATCACATAAGGGCCTTCTGGATATACTAGGAATTTTGGAATGTGTTCCAATTGCAATGAAAATCCACTGGAGGGTCTGAAGCAGGTAAATGATGTGATATATTGTGTGGAGAATGAATTGCGATGGAATAAGAGTGAAAGCAGGTAGACCAGAGAAAAGGGTACTGCAAACAAGAGATGGTGGGGTAGAGGTGATATGGATGATGACTAGATTTGTGATCATCTGTACATAGAGCCAACACGAGCAGATGTAGAGATGAAGCAAAGGAGAGCAAGCAAGCAAAAATTCTGAGGTTTGATGATGGCATTAGCTAGTAAGATAGAGAGACCCTCTACTCCTTCAATCATAGCCATTCTACTTTTATAAGTTTAAATTCTGAGGTTCCATGTATAAGATTTCTTTTTTTAAAAAAGGAGTTTACTGTCAAAAAATAAAAAGTTTGAAAACCACTGACCTAGCAATTCAATTATGGAACTCAACAAAGCAATCAAGGTCAGAGGTGTATACTTGGAAAACATTAGGGCTGAAAGTTTAAATTGGGTAGGGTAGATATGATCATCTATGAAGGAGAAAAACTGAGTCACATGGTTAGAAATCTAAGAAATGTATACTTTTCATAGGTAGGATAAGGAAATGGGGGAAGCAAAAGAAGCAAAAAACAAAACAAAACAAAACAAAAAAACAAGCAACAAAAGTCAGAGAAGAAATCATGGCATAAACACAAAAGTCCTGGTAGAGAAATGTTTAAGAAAGGTAGAAAAAATCATCAGTTAAGGAAAATCAACAACCAAGGAGAATGAGGGAGGCATTTTTAAGTCATAAAAGGTACCAGTAATTCTTGAGGAGAAGAATAGATGGAGGGGGGCTGAATCCAAACTGAAGAAAATTCCAAAGAGTGACTATAATAAATACAGATTCTTCCAAGCAACATCAAAGAATAGGAAGAAGAAAGTATCTGAGGAGTCATCAGGGAGGTCTATACATCTGAAGTCTTAAAAGAACCATGCAAAAGAGAAACTAAGATTTCAAAACAAAAAGAATATAACCGAAACATACAGGAGGGAATAGAAAGAATTTGGGATTGTACAGTTGGCAAGAAATGGGGGTACAATATAATAGAAAGAGGAGAAAGAAAGAAATGGTTACTCTGGTCCTAGAAATTACAGCAGCAACAACAAAAGGCAGATTTCCCAGGTCTGGGGGGTAAATAATCCACTATTTATTACAATGTTAATAACAACTCCCAAATCTATTAGCAGGTAATTTGTAAGTACTGTATATCCTACCTACAGAGGTTGGATACTAAAGTAGAAGGGAGGTGGGCAAAGACAGTAAGTTATATTATATTGCAACACTGCAAGGAAGGTAATTTCATTTTCATTATAGCAATGAGGAAACTGAAGTCCATGCAGTTAAACAACCTACCCAAGTCAATCACCAGTAAATGGCTGTTTTAGTCTGAGTATCTGTGTCCCTGCAAAATTCATATGTTGAAATCTCATATAAATACAACCTTCATATAACTCTCAATGTAATGATATTACCAGGTGGGGCCTTTTGGGAGGTGATTAGGTCATGATAGCAGTGCCCTCGAAAATGGGATTAGTGCCCTCATAAGAGAGGCCCAAGGGAGGTTTGTTTGTCCCTTTTACTTCGTGAAGACAAAGAGAGAAGGTGTCATGTATAATCAGGAAACAGCCCCTCACCAAATCCCAAATCTGCCATTTTCTTAATTTTGAACTTCACGGCCTCCAGACTGTAATAAATACATTTCTGTTGTTTATGAGCTATTCAGTATGTGGCATTTTGTTATAGCAGCCCCAATGGATTAAGACAATGGCAGAGCCACAATAAAAAACTAGAGCTGACTTCAAAGCCTATGTTTTTTAAATTTCATACCACACAGAACCACATTTTTAAAGACAGGTGTACAAATGTAGCGTATCTGCAAAAGAAAGTTATAAACATCAATTAAAATATATTTTGAAAGAAAACAGTCATCTACTCTTAGAGGCAAAAGTTCTGAACAATGATGTTATGTATTTGTTTTATTCTTGCCAGACCCCCAAACAAGAAATGTTAATACTAATTAACTGTGGCTAAGGTTCCACTCTTGACCAGTGTGTTCTAGAAGTCTAATAATCTTCTTACTGTCTCTTAAAGATTGAGAGAAAAAGATATATAAACATTATTGAATAAAGGTGACAGTAATCCCTTTAAATAACATTAAAGTAAAACAGTGTGAAGAAATAGAAAACTGACAGCAAAGCCCTATTTCTTATCTTAAAACCTGTTTTCCATGCTCAGAAAACTAGCTGCCAACACATAAGGAACTGTCTGGCAATTCTATGACTAAGCACATCTGCTCAGGGCCATTTCTCACATGGGATTGTTTCCAAGACACACTATGAATCAAAACTAGTGATCCATGAATTCCAGATTTCCATAGCATTTTTATAATAGAAGACACAATATTATTTAAATTAGAACATGAAACATCTGAGAAAAATCTGTTAGCTAAAATAAAACTATTACCTGGCAAAAGTACATGTCTTTTAAAAAATAAGATAGTATATAAAAATTATCAGCACACACATTTTTAAAGAAAAAATATGCATTTGTAAAAAAGATTAAAAATGAACACAATGAACATATACAAACTGTGATTTATATAATTTACCTTTCCAGATTTAATATGATAGAGCAATACTAAGAATTGCATTCCTATCACATCAGCTCTAATGCTCTTCAATGAAACCACTTATATATAAGTAATTTTGCTAGCATATTTTAAAGATGTCCTGGATTTTATTTCATATTTAAATGTCGAGAGAGCACTAAACATAAAAAATATTTAAGGCTCTAGCACCCAGTCAAACTTTGAGATTACTGGTAATAAAAACAGATTTAAAAGTCAATACAGCTTAAATGCTGGATCTATAATGAGAAACACTAAAAATCTTTTTAATTCATTGTGCAAAGCTTCTATTGATTATATTAAAATGATTTTTTTTTCCAGGTGTGTTGTTTTGGAAATCAAACTTCTAAGTGGTCACACATTTCTGTGTAGCTGAAGGAGATAAAATATAATTTTTTAAAATAATGACAGTTCAAGAAAATAATTGTGCCCTTAGAGGTCAAAGAGCAAAGGACACAAATAGAAAATCCACATGAATAAATTAGCCTTGTCTCTCCAATAAAGTGTAATTTAATTATTTAATTAACTGACTCACTCACTCAAAAAGTATTTTTTTGAGCACCTGCCATATGTCTAGTACTGTGCTAGATGATGGCAAGATAAACATCACCAGATCATAATCCACGCCTTCCAGGGGCTCAAAGACTAGTGTAGAGAGATGGATTTGTAAACACTTAATAAAGTGTTAAAAATGCTGTGACATGGTAAGATATCAGATCTAACCAACTGCATCTTGCTTCTAACCTCCAAACTCTCTTTGTCCATTCCTGGGCATAGGCTGAACTAGCCTTGGGAAGGAATTTAGTTTATAGTTTAAATAGCCCTTCCCAAAAGCTAGACTGTTATTGTAAAATGAATGAAAGGCCACTAGCCACCAAGTTAGGATAAGAGGGGCTGGAATTCTAAATATTACCAGCCATTTAGTCTGGAGGTCGTAAGATTTGCAACTTCCCCAATTACTCTTGAAGATAACATTACTAGTGTGAACCTAAAATTGTCCTTTTAAGATGTCTTTCCAGGTTTTTGCATTTCTGACAGCCGGATGGCCCCACCTGGACCTGCCAACCGTTTCTGTGGCCCCTACCCAGGAACTGACTCAGCATTAAGAGGACAGCTTCGAGTCCCTACAATTTCATCCTCGAGCCAACCAATCAGCACTCCTGACTCACTGGCCCCCTACCCGCCAAATTATCCTTAAAAACTCTGATCCCTGAGTTTTTGGGGAGACTGATTTGAATAATAATAAAACTCTGCTCTCCCACAAAAAAAAAAAAGAAAAAAAAAGAAAAAAATGTTGTGACAGATGTATGTGCAGTCTACAGTCGAGGCACACAGGAAGAAGGCATGTTTGGTACTACAGGAGACTCAAGCTGAGTAATCTGTCAAACTGAATAATTTGGATTATATCCTATAGGCATTTAGTAGCCATTGAAGGAGAGTGACATGATCGGACATATTTTAGAAAGATCACTTTGATAACAGTATGAGAAAGGAAGATGGGTACAGTAAGCTAATTTAGAGGTTACTACTGCAGCTCAGATGAGAAAGTGATGAAGTGAAAGATCAGAGAGACATTTATAAGGTAGAGTTGGGACAGAAAAGAATTTATGATGTCTCCTAGTTTTCTGAATCAGGAATTGGATGGTACAATTCACAAATATGGAGAAAAGATCTGAGAGATAATGATAAGCTTACTTTGGAGCCTGCTGCTTTTCAGGTGCCTCTGAGCCATGTGGGTAGAGATAACCAGGAGAACCCTGAGCTAGAAAAATTTAATGAGATCTCATCCTCACAGAAACTGTCGAAGCTACGAAAGTGTGCATGAGATGAAATGGGTCAAATTAAAACAACTTTGAGGCTATCACATTATACATAAACTTATTATAAAGACTGTTTCTACCTTCAGAGCACAGATGTACATGTTTAAGTTCTCAATGAATATAAAATAAATTGATTGGACAAATTATAGGCTCCTTACATGAATATAATATCTATGTCTGTTAATGAGATAAGTCCTTAGTGGCTAAGTTATTATTATTATTTTGAGATGGAGTCTTGCTCTGTTGCCCAGGCTGGAGTACAATGGCACAATCTCAGGTCACTGCAACCTCTGCCTCCTGGGTTCAAGCAATTCTCCTGTCTCAGTCTCCTGAGTAGCTGGGATTACAGGCTCCCATCACCATGCCCGGCTAATTTTTGTATTTTTAGAAGAGACGGGGTTTCACCATGTTGGCCAGGTTGGTCTCAAACTCCTGACCTCAGGTGATCCACCCGCCTTGGCCTCCGAAAGTGCTGAGATTACAGGCATGAGCTACCGCACCTGGCCAGCTAAAATTATTTTTAACAAATATTCTGATGATGCCACTCTGATGAGAAGTTAATAAGGACCCCATGCAAATGCTTTACTTAGTCTTTTTTGTTTGTTTGTTTGAGACGGATTTTCACTCTTGTTGCCCAGGCTGGAGTGCAATGGCACGATCTCGGCTCACCGCAACCTCCACCTCCCAGGTTCAAGTGATTCTCCTGCCTCAGCTTCCCTAGTAGCTGGGATTATAGGCATATGCCACCACGTCCGGCTAATTTTGTATTTTTAGTAGAGATGGGGTTTCTCCATGTTGGTCAGGCTGGTCTCAAACTCCCGACCTCAGGTGATCCGCCCGCCTCAGCCTCCCAAAGTGCTAGGATTACAGGCGTGAGCCACTGCGCCCGGCCACTACTTAGTCTTTATAGTACATCCTTTTAAAAGATAACATTGGTTATTCCTAGAAAGATATAATAAATGACAATCTTTCCCTTCGAAGACTTTACAAGGCAGGCATAAAATCTGAGCACATGAGAGTTGGAAAATAATTATCATCATAACTCAGTTGGATATATATTATAAATAAATGTATAAGACAAAAAAAGCACCTCTGGAAAAACAGTATAAATCTCAGTTTAAATGAATAAATACTGAGTAGGTTCACAAGAATAAAAAAGTAAAAATCTGGTAGAATGAATGAGAGAAGTCTTTCTGGAGAAGGCAAGTTTTAGCTAGGTTTAGAAAATTATAAATTTTCTGAGAAACAGAATGATCTAAGGCAAAAAGGAAGTTACCAAAAGTTGTTCTGCGGGAAACAGCAATATGACTATTTTTCTGTATAACTGGAGGTTTGAGGAGGATCAGGTGAATGAAGGTTCTTAAGAAAATAGGCTGAAAAGTTTTATCTACTATGACAAGGTATCACCAAAAACTCTCAAAATGAAATATGATTAAAGCTTTAATTATAAGTTCACATGATTTTAACTTTTTTGCACCACACTATCAGACAACAAATGAAACTAATATGTTTCAGTATAAGTACAAACTTAAACAACTCTAGTACTTAAGGAGTTTCTAATTTAGTTATTCTTGGCATGGCTATATAGAGCATCTCAAAACCTAAATTCTGGTAATGTCAATATGCCCATCATTCAGAATCTGTCATACTTGAAAGCAACACTCTCTTCCGTAAAAGAAGCATCTGTTTATCCTTATGTTCCTTCAAATCTGTGGCAGGAAAAGCAAGTATAGTTTTATGTATACAACTCTGAACTGCTTAATGTTAAGCTATGGAATACTGTCAGTAAATATTATGGCAAAGTTGTTCATGGACAATTAAACACTTAAGACGTTTTAGGCTTTGGAAAACTGCAACTAGTTTTATCAATCTCTAAACTCAATTTATAATCCTTAGGCCCTAATGTCCACACTAAATGAATCTTCCAGGCAGATGTCAAAAATCAAAGTATCTACTCATCATACTTTTTTCCCCTGCAATCAACTCTGCTACTTGACTTCCTCACTGCTGTGAATACTGTCAGAGAGCCAGGCTTAGAAGCTCACTAGATTAGCAGTTACAAGATGTGAGTTCTAATTTGGCTTTTCCATGAATTTGTTGTGCAACTCTGGACAAGACAAATAGTTTCTAAGCCTTTGGTTCACTTTGAGTTTTCTATAAAATTAGGAAGTCAAACTAGATGAACATTAAGATACCTTCTAGCAATAAAATTTCATGATTCTTCCCCTGTCCTTTAGCTCAATATTACGAAGTTCTGCCCATTTTTCCTATATAGATTTTTTTATATGCATTTTTATTCTCTATTTCCATTACTATAATATGATTGCAGGTCTTTATGAACCAGTTTCCTTACTCATCCTTCCAGGATCTCTACCTTCTAATTTATCCTACATATGCCAAAAATCTTATATCCTTTTTTTCCTCCCACTCTTTTCTTAACCTTGAATGTAAAGTTGAATTTTTACACTATTCATTCCATGACCTATTATCATTATCAGCTGTAAAAGATATTCTCATTTGTTTATTTTTGTTTTTTTGCTCATTCCCAATCCCTTTCTCATTCTCCTCCATTTCATAAGTTCATACTAAAATGTGATATATCCTCAGATATACACATTTACTGGTAAAATATATATTGTTATTACAAGCATATGTTTTATGCTATAGATCCATATATTTTACTTTTTAAATATAAACACTGTTTTCTAGTTCTACCCATGTTGCTCTAACTACATCTTTACATGTAAATATGTGTTTCTAAATGATGCACAGTATTCCTTCCACAGGATGTAATTATCACATTTTACTGTTCATTCCCTTAGTGACAAATACCTAGGTTGCCTTCAATTCTCTACTTCCACAAATAGCCTCATTCCACAGAGACAATCATTAACTTGAAGTAAGGATATATCATTTCTGGGAATGGAACTTTATTCTCTTGTAATACACACACACATACACTACATATATATGTAACAGATATATAATTTTTACTACATATTTTGAATATATATTGATATATCCATATACATATATCGATGATCAATACACACTATTGTTTAAAAGATTTAAACTGTATCACACTGTAATTTTTTGGCCTCTTTATTACACTCCACATTTTTACATTGATTGCTGAGTGTGAAGTAGTATCATGTTTTTACTTGCATTTTCCTGATTGCTGTAACTTTTGAAATGCTTATTCATATCGTTTGCCTAATTTTCGATGAGTTAATTATTCTCATTGATACTTAATCAGTTAATGTGTCCTTAACACTAATCTGTTGTGTTACAATACACGCATTGTAAATGTCTTCTCACTGACTATGAGTTGTCTTTTCATTTGACTTATATTGTTTTTGTAACAGAAGCCTAATATCTTAACATATACAAGTAAAGAAATCTTTTCCTTTTTGGCTTGTATTTAAATCTTTTGTTTTTTTCATGACAGGCTAATTTTAATTTTTGTAGAGATGGGGTTTCACCATGTTGGCCAGGCTGGTCTCGAACTCCTGACCTTAGGTGATCTGTCCGCCTCAGCCTCCCAAAGTGCTGGGATTACAGGCATAAGCCACTGTGCCCAGCCTAAATCTCGATTAAGAAATATTTCTCTAAGGAGAGGAAGCAGAGCAAGATGGCTGAGTAGAACTCTCCAACAACCATTCCCCTGCAAAAATAACAAATTGAATGACCACCCACATAAGAAAGCACCTTCATAAGAACCAAAAAATCATGTGAGTGATCACAATACCTGGTTTGAACATAATATCAAGGAAAGAGGTACCGATGAGTGTAGGAAAGACAGTTTTTCATTACCCATACAAACTGCCCCCAGCCCCAGGCAGTGCAGAGTGGACAGATAATTTGTGTGCTAGGGGGAGGGAGAGTGAAGTAAGTGTTGAACTTTGCATTAGAATTCAGTGCTGCCCTGTCACAGTGGAACACAACATAGGCTAGAATTCCACCAGCACCCATGGAGGGAGCATTTAGACCAGCCCCAGGCCAGAGAAGAATTCACCGTCCCAGTGGGAGAAAACCAAGTCTTTGCTGCCTTCACCACCACTGACTAAAGTAGCCTGGGCCTGGAATAAATTTAAGTGGCAGTCAGGCCACAAGGACTGCAGTCCTAAGGCAAGCCCTGGTGCTGCACTGGTCTCAGAGGCAGTGCACTTAGGGTACAATACAGTGTGACCAGCAGTGGCAGCCAAAGGATTGCCTGTGTCATCCCTTCCCAAACTCCAGGCAGTACTGCTCCAAAGAGACTCTTTCTGCTCAGGGAAAGGGGAAGAAAGAGTATAGAGGACTGTGTCTTGCAACTTGAGGACGAGCTCAGCCACAGTAAAGGCACCAAGCAGATTTCTGAAGTCCCAGATTCTAGATTTTTGCACCTGGATGCGTTTCTAGACTCACTCTGTGCTAGAAGAGAATCCACTCCTCTGATGGGATGGACCCCATCCTAGCAGAATTCATGCCCTGCTAACTGAAGTGGTCCTGGGCCTTGAATAAACATCAGGCAGTGGTGGCTGCAGGCCTTGGGTTAGCCCCGGTATTGTACTGGTCTGAAGGGATTCGGGTGTGACTCTGTGTAGTGCTAGCTGTGGTAGCCATGAGAGTGGGCACGTCACCTCTCCCCAACTCCAGACAGCACAGTGTACAGAGAGACTCCTTCTGACTGGGGAAGGAGTAAGAGACTTTGCCTGGTTACCCAGGGAATTATCCCTCATCTTACCGAAGTCTAGCAAGTCTGTGTATGTAGGAGGATCTAAGAGCTGCAGCATTCCTAGGCTTAGGAATCTAAGCCTAGGAATGGTTCTGAAATGGCTTCTGCAATGTTCTGAAATGGCTGCAATGTTCTGAAATGGCTGCAATAATTGCAGGCTTAGGCCAAAACACTCAATCTCTTTTGGATTCGTGGAAAGCCCACTCTAGAAGGAAGAATACAAACAAGCCAAGACTGCAAAAATTATAATACCTAACTCTTCATTGCTCAGATACCGATGAGCATCCACAAGCACGAAGAACATCCAGAAAAACATGACTTATCAGATGAACTAAATAAGGCACCAGTGTGACCAATCCTAGAGTGACGGAGATATGTGACATTTCACACAAGGAATTCAAAGTATTAATTGCTGTTTTGGGGAAGCTCAACAAATTTCAAGACAACAGAAGGAATTCAGAATCCCATCAGAAATTTGACAAAGATTGAAATAATTTTTTAAAAGTCATGTAGAAATTCTGGAGTTGAAAAATCCCATTGAAAAACTGACAAATGCATCACTCTCTCAAAAGCAGAACTGATCAATCAGAAGAATCCATGAGCTTGGAGAAAGGCTATATGAAAATACACACTCAGAGGTGAAAAAAAAGAATGAAACATGCCTACAAGATCTTTAAAACAGTCTTAAAGGGGCAAATCTAAGAGTTACTGGTCTCAAAGAGGATGTACTAAGAGAGATGAGAGTAGAAAGTTTATTCAAAGACATAATAACAGAGAACTTTCCAAACCCACAGAAAGATATGACTATCCAGGTACAAGAAGGTCAAAGAACACCCAGCAGATTCAAGACAAATAAGACTACTTCAGGACATACAATAATCAAAGTCTCAAAGGTCAAGGATAAAGGATCTTAAAAGCAGCAAGAGAAGAGAAGCAAATAATATGTAAAAGCAAAATTGTCTTTCAAACATAGAGGAGAAATGAAAACTTTCACAGAAAAAAAAAAGCTTATGAATTTTGTCAACACCGAACCTGTCTTACAAGAAATGTTAAAGGGAGTTCTTCAATTCAAAAGAAAAGGATGTTTATTAGTAACAAGAAATCATCTGAAGATATAAAACTCACTGGCAATAGTAAGTACACAGACAAATACAGAATATTCTAACTCTGTTTAGACTCCTTTAATTGTAATGGTGGTGTATAAACCACTAATACCTTTCATCAGAAGACTAGAAGACAGACTTACCAAAAATTATAAATACTACAACTTTTGAAGAGATAGACAATATAAAATATATGTAAATAGAGACAACAAATCAAAAAGCAGGGGAGATGAAGTTAAAGTTGGAGTTTTAAATTCTCTTTGCTTATTTTTCTTTATAATCAGAGTTAAGTTGTCATCAGTTTAAAACAATTGGTCATAGTATTTGCAAGCCTCATGGTAACCACAAAAACAAAAACCTATAATAGATACAAAAAAACCTGAAAAGCCAAGAAATTAAAATATACTACAAGAGAAAGTCACTTTTACACAAAGGAAGACAGAAAGGAAGGAAGAGAGGACCAACAATACAACCCCAGAAAAAAAGTAACAAAATGGCAGTAGTGAGTCCTTTCCTATTACTAATAACATTAAATGTAACTGGACTAAATTCTCCAATAAAAAAAAGAGTAGCTGAATGGATAAAAAATAAGACCTAATCATATGCTGCCTACGAGAAACTCATTTCATCTATAAAGACACCCAAAGACTGAAAATACAGGAATGGAAAAAGACAGTCCATGCAAACAGAAACCCCAAAAGAGCAAGAGTAGCTATACTTACACCAGATAAAATAGATTTCAAGACAAAAATTGTAAAGAGAGTCAAAAATGTTATTATATAATGATAAAGGGGTCAATCCCACAAGAGGATATAAGAATTGTAGATATATATGTACTCAATGCTGGAACATCCAGATAATATAAAGCAAATATTAGAACTAAAGATAAAGTTAGACACCAATAAAATAACAGCTGAGAACTTCAACACCCCTCTTTCAGAATTGGACAGATAATCTACATAGAATACCAACAAAGAAACATCAGATTAAATTTGTACTATAGACTACATTGACCTAATAAACATTTACAGAATATTTCATCCAACAGGTGAAAAATATATGTTTTTCTTCTCAGTATATTAAACAGTCTCAAGGACAGAACATATATTAGGCCATAAAACAAGTCCCCAAAATTCAAACAAGCTGAAATCATATAAAGTATCTTTTCTGACTACAAAGGAATAAAACTAAAATTCAGTAACAAGAGGAACTTGAAAACCACACAAACAAGGAAATTAAACAATACGCTCCTAAATGACCATTGGGTCAATTAACCAATTTAGAAGGAAATTTAAAAATTTGTTGAGACAAATAAAAATAGAAACACAATGTATCACAACCTATAGATACAGCAAAAGCAGTACTAAAAGTGAAGTTTATAGCAATAGATACCTCCATCAAAAAGTAGAAAAACTTCAAATAAACAACCTAAGGATATATCTTAAAGAACTGGAAAAGCAAGAGAAAACCAAACTCAACATTAGTATAAGAAATAATAAAGAGCAGAGCAGAAATAAATAAAATTCAGACTAAAAAATACAAAAGATAAGTGAAAAAAAGTTGTTTTTTTAAGACAAACAAAATCAATAAACCTTTAGCCAATCCAAAAAAAAATACAGAAGACTCAGGTAAATAAAATGAGATGAAGGAGATATTACAACTGAAACCACAAAAATTCAAAATATCATAAGAAACTATTATGAGCAACTATATGCCAATAAATTAGAAAATCTAGAAGAAATGAATAAATTCCTAGAAACATCCAACCTACCAAGATTTAACCATGAAGAAATACAAAACTTGAATAGACCAATAACAAACAAGGAGATAGAAGTGGCAATAAAAAAATCTCCCATCAAAGAAAAGACTAGGACTTGATGTCTTCATTGCTGGATTCTGTTGAACATTTAAAGAAGAAATAATACCAATCCTACTCTAACTATTCCAAAAAATTGTGAAAGGAATACTTCCAAACTTATTCTATGAAGTCAGTATCACCCTGCTACCAAAACCAGACAAAGACACAACAAAATAAGGAAAGCTATAGGCCAACATCTCTGATGAACACAGATGCAAAAATCCTCAACAAAATATTAGGAAACTCAATTCAACAACACATTAAAGAGATCATTCTTCATGATCAAGTGGGATTCATCCCAGGGATGCATGGATGGTTCAACATGTGAAAATCAATAAATGTGATGTATCAACAAAAGACAAAAACCATATGATAATTTCAATTGATGCTGAAAAAGTATTTGATAAAATTCAACATCTCTTTGTGATAAAAACTCTAAAGAAAACCTGGGTATAGGAGAAACATATCTCAACAAAGTAAAAGTCATGTATGACAAACCCACGGGTAATATCATACTGAATGGGGAAAAACTGAAAGCCTTTCTGCTAATATCTGGAACAAGACAAGGATACCTACTTTCACCACTGTTATTCAACACAGTATGAGGAGTCCTAGCCAAAACAGTCAGACAAGGGAAAGAAATGAAGGGAGCCCAAATTGGAAAGGAAGAAGTCAAATTATCCTTGTTTGCAGATGACATGATCTTATATTTAGAAAAACCTAAAGATTCAACCAACAAAACTATTAGATTGGATAAATTAAGTTGCCACATACAAGATCAACGAACAAAAATCAGTATTATTTCCATATGCCAACTGAACAGTCTGAAAAAAAAAACAAGAAAGTAATCCCATTTACAATAGCTACAAATAAAACAAAATACTCAGGAACAAAAAACCAAAGAAGTAAAATAACTCTAAAAGAAAACTATAAAACTCTGATGAAAGAAATTGAAGATGACACAAAACAATGGAAAGATATTCCATGTTCATGAATCAGAAGAATCAACATTGTTAAAATATCCATAGTACCCAAAGCAATCAAATCTATAGATTAAATGCAATCAAAATACCAATGACATTCTTTACAGAAATAGAAAAAAAATCCTAAAATTTAAAGGGAACCAAACAAGACACAGAATAGCCAAAGCAATCCTGAGCAAAGAGAACAAAGCTAGAGGCATCACATTAACTGACTTCAAATTATACTACAAATGTATAGTAACCAAAACAGAATGGTACTGGCATAAAAACAGACACAGATGAACTGAACAGAGAACCCAGAAATAAATCAATGCATTTATAGTCAACGCATTTTCAACCCCTATCTCTTGCCATATACCAAAATCAAATCAAACTGTATCAAAGACTAAATCTAAGACCTGAAACTATGAAACTACTAGAAGAAAATGTTGGGGAAACACTCCAGACATTCATCTGGGTAAAGATTTCTTGAGGAGGACTTCAAAAGTACAGGCAACCAAAGCAAAAATGTACATATGGGATCGTATCAAGCTAAAAAGCTTCTGGACAGCAAAGGAAACAATAAGTAAATAAAAAAACCCACAGAATGGAAGAAAATATTTGTAAACTACCCACTGGACAAGGGATTAATAACCAGAATTGGAATATATAAGGAGCTAAAACAACTCGAGAGGAAGAAAAAGAACAAATAATGGGCAAAATACCTGAATAGTAATTTTGCAAAAGAAGACATACAAATAAATGGACAATAGGTATATGAAAAAATGCTCAGATGATTTGTGGGTTCCCCATTCGTGGATTCAACCAATTGCAGATTGAAAATATTTTTTAAAACAATAAAAAATAAAAATTTTTAAACAATACAGTATATAATCTATTTGCATTTACATTATACTAGGTATTATAAGTTATCAGATTATTTAAAATATATGGGAAGATGTGCATAGGCTATATACAAATACTTTGTCATTTTATATAAAGGACTTGAACATCTGTGTATTTAAAGGTCTGACTGTATATCACAGTTATCTCCTAATAATCTTGATTTCAGTTTCTTCCCATCCTAACAGATCATATACACAAGAAGATATTGGCAGAAGCTTAACAAAAGGAAGGCAAAAAAACACCCATGGGGAAAATTATAGCATCATCAGCTCCCCTGAAGAAAAATAATTAACAATGAAATAATGAAACTCATTTTTGAAAATACCTAAGTTTTTTTCGGAGTTGTTCGATTATCACACTTTGTTCAGTTACTGTTTTCAGAAACTGTTGGTTAGTCTGCCACAAGAAAAAAAAAGAATCAGTATTAGAATATTTAATAACTGTATCTTTAAAGATGACACATCAGACATACAAGTAGAAAAAAAGTTTAGTGAGATTTATGATAAAGATTAGATTTTTTGAGGGTAAAACATAACCTTGGCCTTCTTTCCTTGCCTTTACTACTTCATTGGATACCTGCTTCACTTGAAACTACCTACACCTGCATTCCTGTCTTATGGCTTTCTTTGGCTATCTGAATCTCTTTTGCTCATCTATCCACCTGGGCATAAAGCTATAAGTGTTATAGAACTAATGTTCCACCCTGTTCTGAGCAGCCTGACATGTCTGAAGGGAACTGGTATATAAAAAACCCAAACTCCCTTCTTGCATGGGTGAAATAATTCTGAGGCTTGTGTTCTACACTGTCTTTCAGAATTCATTAAGTTTTAGTTACTCACAGTGTTAACTTGCTTAATTTTAAAAAGCCCTTTATTGGCTGTCTTCTCTTCTCTTGATACCACTTCCCCACCTTCTTACTGGTGCTCCCTGGTATTACCTACTAAATAAATGACACGTTTTGGAACTTTTTCCTGAAGGTCAGCTTCTGGAGAAATCCACAGTAAGATATGAAGTAGTCTTCTAGATGTAGAAAAACTTTTCCTAAGGGAATTGATTTTCTTCCATAACTGCTGGTTTTATCCATGATGATACAAATTCCTTATCCCTTTTCTTTATATATTATGGTTGCTCCCGATTGATCTTAATAGTTTTGATTTAATCCTGTCCCAACATACCATGCTTAAATTTCTCCAACTAAAGTCCCTGAGATAGCTTTCATTGTGCTTCTCTCATGCTCTGAGCTCACTGACTTCATATTTTTAACATACTATCGTATTTTCCTCTGCCCAGGATGTCCTCATTCTGTCTGCATTCATTCCTCAATACCATGTGTGGTTTACTCATTCTCAGGTAGAATTAACTGTTTCCTTTCTGTACTTTGATAAAACTTAATACATGCCTTTACAGTGCACATTATATTTAAATATTAAAGTGTAGGTATTCCTGACTAAAATATGAGCCTTTTTAAAGGATCAGCTTTTCCCAGAACTCCTAGTGCCTGGCACATGATTGAGTACATCACAGGCACAACTAGTGTTTTATTATATATACTGCCTTGGCACTAGCATAATTAATGCTTGTGTTTTTGACCATTTGGGAACACCTCAAAGATAGAATTACATAGAGCAATTAACAGAAGTATAAGCTAAAATTCTGCATTTTAAGAATCTAGTGCTGGAAACCAAGGTGCTTAACTTGCTAGCAAGCCTAGTAAGAGCTCCGCAACTGCATCTGAATATGGCATTGTTGTTCTATATTTATGACCATAAAGAAAATTATGTACTATATTAATATTTTAGAATTAGGAGACTCGAGAAGGTGCAGGGAAGCATCCTTTTCAACCATCATCTATTTAGCACCTTTTTCACTGATTATTTCATATGTCAGCCTGTTTTACCACGGAGACAGAGATTTTATGGTTGATGCATTTTTGCAACTTAGAGAACCTATACTTTCATGCAGGATAGTTAGTATGCAATTAAATATTTTTGAGTAAATTATAGAGATGAGCAAATCTTAAAAAACATTTCAGTAAAGCAAACCTATGGGAAATGTAAAATTATAATCTATCTACAGCATAATAAATAGAAATATATACTTTTATGTACCATTCATGTCAGAGCATATCTATTGCATATTACTAATTTGCATTGGTAAAGAAAGATATTTATTTGTATCAATTTGTAGTAAGAATACTTACATGAGTTATGCACTTTTAAAACATGTTTAAGTGTACAATACGTTATTGCTGACTACAGGTACAATATTGCACAGATCTCTAGAGGTTATTCATCTTGTTTGACCGAAACTTCATGTGTGTTGATTAGTAAGTCCCCATTTCTTCTCACCAAAGGCCCTGGAAGTCACCATTCCAATCTCTGTTTCTATAAATCTGTCTACTATAGATACTTCGTATAAGTAAAATCATACAGTGTTTAGTCTTTCTGTGACTGGCTTATTTCATTTAATGCTCTCAAAGTTTATTCATGTTATCACATATTGCATAATTTCCTTCTTTTTAAAGGCTGAATAGCATTCCACTGTATGTTTATACATTTTAATCCACTCCTCTTTGATGGACATCTAAGGTTGTTTTCGTATCTTGGCTAATGTGAATATGCTGCAATAAGCACAGGAATGCTAATATCTCTTCAAGATCTTAATTTCAATACGTTGGGATAAATATTCAGAAGTGGGATTTCTGGATCATATGGTAGTTATATTTTTATTTTTTTGAGGAAACTCTATACTGTGTTCCATGGCAGATGCACCGTTTTGCAATCCCACCAAAAATGTTCAAGGTTTCCAATTTTTCCACATCCTCTTCAACACGTGTTGTCTTTTTTGTTTTGATAATAATCCCTCTGACACGTGTGAGGTGATACATCATTGTAGTTTTAGTATTTATGTTTCCCTAATGTTTAGTGACATCGAGCATTGGGCATTTCTTCACATACCCATTGCCTTGGAAAAATACCTATTTAAGTACTTAGCTCATTTAAAAATCAACTTATTAGGTTTTTTTGTGTGTCTTTTGTTTTTTACTGCTGAGTTATAGAAATTCCTTAAATACTTTGGAGATTATTCCCTTATTGGATATACGGTCTGCAAATATTTTGTCCCATTCCATAGGTTGCCTTTTCACTCTGCTGGTTTCGTTTGCTGTGCAAAAACTTTTTGGTTTGATGCAGTCCCACTTGATTACTTTTTTCCTGCTGTCTGTACTTTTGGTGTCATATCCATGAAATCGTTGCCAAGACCGATGCCATGGAGATTTTCCCCTAGGTTTTCTTCTAAGAACTTTATAAGTAAGAGGTGTTAGATTTAAGTCTTTAATCCATTTTGGGTTGATATTTGTGTGTTGTGTAAGATAAGAGTCCAAAATCATGTTTTGAATACGAATATCTAGATTTCCCAACTCCATTTTTAATTCCGTTATTGTGTTCTTTAGGTCCATAATTTGTGTGCTACTTTTTAATATTTTTTCTCTGTTGCAACTCTCACTTTGTTCATACATTGTTCTTTTAACTGTGGTGAGCATCTTCATGAGAGTTATTTTTAATTCCCTATCAGGTAATTCATAACTTCTTTTCATTAGGATTGGTTTCTGGAGATTTATCTTATTTCTTTGTATGGAACATCTTTAGCTGGTTCTTCATTTTTCCTTGACTTTGTGCTCACGTCCGTACATTAGAGAAAGCAGGCACCTCTCCCAGTCTTCACAGATTAGTGTCATACAAGAGAAGACCCCCACAAATCAGCTGGCCAGAGATTCAGCAGGCCTCTACCAACTCTTTCCCTCCCCAGGGAGATGCTGGCAGCTGTGGCTTTGTCTGCTTGCTCTGTGATGAGCTGGGGGGTAGGGAACTATAGCATGTATCAGCCCAATCTGCTGTCTCTGTTCTTCCCTAGGTGTCTAGACCATGCTGGACCTATTAGAGCTTCGTGAGACAGATGCTATTTCTCTGGGCTGCCCTAGAGAAGCTGCAGTGCTGGATCAACTTTTCCCCTCCCTAGGGGAAAGTTGAGAACTGAATTTTCATCTACTTACTCTGTGCTGAGAAGAGCACAGGACCAATGCCAACTATCAGTCCAAACCAATGCCTCCATTCTCCCTTGGTTGGCCAGACTATGCTGGATCTGTGAGCTCCGAGACTGGCAAGATAGAGGCCAGTATTCTGGGGACCACCCTCAGAAAATTTGGGGTGATGAATGCACATACCTAATCCCTTCCCTCCCCTGGGTGAAGCTGGGAGCTAAGGGGTCTTTTTTTGATCACATGGCACGGCACTGGGGACAGGGTGCCTAGCAAGAGAGGGTCTCAAATCTCCCTGCTAGCTTTGGTGAGTCTGGTTTTCCAATCCCCCAGGAAGTGAGAACATTTCCATTCATTTCTGATTTATTGCAAAGGAAATTTGTCCATGAATTGTTGCTGAATTGGTGTATCTGTGGGGAGAAGGAGTGTCCAGGATGTCCTACTCTGCCATGTTAGTCAAATTATATTGAAAGACAGTTTATTTACTCACTGCATACTCATCAATTTATTCTACATCTATAAAAATCTATTCATTTAATGAGTTTATTCGTGTAATCAGAAAATTTTTTGTTGGAAACTTCTTGATTTTTAAAGGGCACTTTTCTTCAAGTTTGATCTTGACTCATACTTGCCCCCATAACTATGTTCTGAATGCTCTTTGAACTGTACAAGATCTTATCACTTTGCTTGCTCCCTTTATACTTATCAGTCTTGTTTGCTATTCATTATATACATTAAGAACAACTTAAATTTTAAAATTTCTTTCAACCATTTACTTTTATCTTAACCACCTATATAGTCTTTTCTATATTTTTATAAAACTCTCTTTTATTCATCATGCCATTTCTTTATCAGTTTTCTCGTATCCAGTTTATTCTTAGCTCTGACCTGGAACCATGAATACTTCTGCCTTAGAAATTTTTAACATATTCCCTTGGAATATACAACATCCTTTTCCCATGACTTTCTTTCATCAAAATCATAATAAAATAGGGGCTCTGTGATATGATATATCAAAGAATGATACAATTCCAATTCTAGGAGACATATTGAAGAAGTAATGAATAATTATGATGCTAGGTTAAAGTACTAATTCCATATAGAAATATATTAAATTAAAAAATGCCTTTCTTAATTATAGAAATCAGTAACCATTTTGTTCTGGAGTACTAGTATTTTAAAACTCTAAGAAGTATAATATAGTATCAAAAACTGTATGTAATTAGACACTTCAAATGTTAACAGAATAGGTACAGATTGGTTTAATAATTTTTTACATGGTTAAAAAAGAAAAATTTTTAAAGTAGAATAAAATTGGATACTTACTTTTGATAGCACAAATCCATTGTTATACAAAGACATTTTTATTAGGTACTAACAAGAATTAGCAGAGTAACTAAGCAAGAATGAAGAAGGGAAAGAGAGAGGAATTACCTGAAGTGTCATAATTCTATTACTCAACAATGAGGTAAAAATAACATTCCAAGAAAGTAAAGAAAACAAAAGTGAGAGAATAAGAAGGTAAAGAGCAGAACTGGAAAGACTAATTCTATTTATTTTAGGAGAAACTTATAGGGAAATTTAGGAGTACCATACCAACACATGGTCCTTAGTTTCCTAAAACTTTTTAGGCAATGGGCTATTAATTCATTAAACAATTACACTATTCTTATTAAATACCTGGCAGTGTGTCAGGTGAAATAAAAAAAATTAAGCATGTACTCTACTCTTGAGGAACTCACTGTCTAGATTAGTCTAAGGAGACCTTACTAAGAATCCTAAGAGGATTTCCAGATTAAGATATATTTCAGAGAGATGTTAGATCTCCAAAAGGTACTGTAAACTGTGTCATGCTATTGAATGAGAAAGCAAAAGCAAAAGAAAAAACAGTATTATCTAATTTCGTGCAGCATGCTTATTGTTGATTTATATTAACATAAATAAATATGATTATTTATAGGGACAATTTCTAGTTTATATAAATAAGTATACTTACCACTTCCATGTTCTCATTAGTAACATGAAGTTGTTTGGTCAGTTGTTGAAAATCAAATAGCTGATCCTACAGTGGGAAGGTAAGGGGAGTATATAAATAGCATTTTGTTGTTTATAACCCATATTTAAAATTAAACTAAAATCAAGTCTAAAATCATTATGCCTAAGTTTAGATAAAATTAGTAGTGTTTCTTATTACTATTGTGTGAATTAGTAGTTGAAAAACTAAGAAATTTTTTAAATGATTAAAAAATTAAAGTGGCAATGCTGAAATTAATGTGGCTGTTTATTTTATGTCAAATAATTATTTCTAGAAATCATTTATTAAATATTATTTTAAAACTTGAAGAAAGAGATCATAAAAAATTATAAGTGATTAGAAATTCTAAATGCTAGAGAGACCTTGTCCAATATTGGAACGTCACTTTCAAACCTACTCAAAACCTATAATACAAACCATGGCACAGGAGTTACTGCCCACCTTTTTTAAAAACATTCTCATGCCCCACATTTTAAAAATTGTTTGATTAGCTGTTATGATTCTATTAAACATTATTTGTACAGACGACACAAAGTTGGGAGAGGCTGTAAATATACTGAAAGACAGAATTAAATAGATAACCAGGGAAAAAAGAATGAAGTGCTATTTGTAAAGTCTTGTATAAGGACCCATCAAACTATGTAGCTATAGTAAAAGAATGATATTATTCAGGTGAAAACAAAACAAAAACCCAACCTTGTGGGCTTAGTTGATTGACCTAAATGAGGAAACAGTCCTCAAAGAACTTAATATGAAAAATGGTTTTTAAATCTCAGAGGTAAAAGTCCAACAAATCAGATTGATTACATGTGGACTTTTTTTCAAGCCAGGGCATGTAAAGAAAAATCATTTTGTAAACTGTAAAGCATCACATAAGTATTTTTACAATTTCTTTAGGTAGATATTTCTAATTATAATTACAATAATAGGAATATTCATTAACCAGAATTTGAAAAGTCTGTAAATGAGAGCTGAAGAGAGGTATGAAAACCAACTTATTTAAAGAGCTTCCTCTCAAAATACATAGAAAAGAGGTCAGAATTAGAATTCCTCCATAGTGCTCAATGCACCTAGCAATAAAAGAACCAACAGAAGAATAAAAGAGGTAGATTTCCAAATGGAATAGATGGCCTTGTGAGATAATGAGTTCTTGTCAATAGACGTGTAAAGCAAAAGCTAAAGCTAGATGTCCACTTTGAAAGAGTGTAGAATGATTCTTGCTTTGGGTAGAAAAAAGTCTTTTAATAACCATTAAGATACCTTCCTGTTGTAAAATTCTATTCTGATTAATTTATGATAGACAAAATTGACACCTATTTTAGTAACAGGTCACATTTAAGGGTATTAACATTTGATTTTACATAGTGTTTCCACTGTATTTGAGCAGGTTTCTTCACTGGCCATAAACTAATAAACAATTTTGTTTTGTTTTGTTTTAAAAGTCAGGTAGGAAATCAAGCAAATAAAAACTTTGAAGGTTTATTTATACAAAATAATGTTAAAGTTGCTCTTTAGCACTAAATTCAGCTTTCATTGCTGACAACATTATAGAACCAAATGATCACTGTCCAGTTCTCTAATTAGTTTACCTGTTCAATAGTGTAACCATCAAAGATCTATATATTATTAACATAAATAATAAAGTGATTAGAAATTCTAAATGCTATAGGGTAGAGTCTTAAGCGTTCCCCTCTAAAACAGTTTCTTCAGAGTGCAATTTCTTATTGATATACAAGAAAATGATGAAATCCAAGATTACCTTTTGTTTTTGACTTTCAAATACATGAATCTGGGCCTCAGTCATATGTTCCTGGTAAAGCTTGTGTAGTCTGTCCAACTCCTGAGAAACAGTCTGCCAGAGTTCCACAGCCTGAGTTTTTTCCTATTAAAAAAGTTTGATAACTCATTAAATTATCAGCAGGCTATTTATTGTATAGTACAAATGGATCATTTTCTTTTATAGAATAAGTTCTTATAAAGTCATAAAATAAAATAGAACTGTGTAAAGATGGTATTATAGTTATATTTTTGATATGAAGTTTTATTATTAATAATTTAGAGAGTAAACTTGAAGACATAAAGTTCCTTATTTTGAAATTGTGGTTTTACTCAGATTTAGCTAAAATTAAAATCCTTAACAGAGATGTAGATTTAAACCATGTTCTTTGTTCCACAAGAAAGTATAAGCCCTAGAAACTGATGAAGAAGAAAACTGCCTCCTGGTAAAGTACAATATTTTTTTCCTGATCATAAAAGTAATAAATTTTCATTGTGGAAAATTAGGAAAATACAGAGAAAAACAGGAGAAAATCAGAATCACCTATAATTTTACTACCTGATAATAAATATTGCTAATATCTAGATAAATCATCTTTTTAAATGTTGATGCATTCATGTTTATAAATGTGATTCTGGGTGAGAATTTTGTAATTATTTTAACAAAATTAGGGACAATATAGTGGGCTATTTTTACTTGCCATTTTATAATGATTTTATAATTATAATTTTCTCAGGTCACTATTGTTTGCATACAGTATTATCTAAGTGTGGTACAGAAACTTTTAAACTTTGAAAGGTCCTAGAAGTCAAATTTATCTTCAGAATAATATGTTAACATTTTTCGCCTTTTTACTCTCATCCTCTCACAAATGTACAGTGAAGTTTTCTAAAGTTTATATGATGTGATGCCATCCTTGCTCTAAGGGCTAATGGACTACATGCTTATGCTCCTACTTTTTTTTTAAGTCTCAGTTTTAATTTGTAATACAATAAATACTGATAGATATGTAACCCACAAAAAACATAAGGCACCTTGGAGTACACTGAGGTATACCATGCATTCAGAAAATGAACAAATTGTACATTTTTATAAAGCAAGTGCGCTTATGTAACCAGCACCCAGTTCAAGAGAAAGAACATTACCATCACCTAGAAGCTGGACGACCCTCTTGTGATCTCTTCCAGTTACTATACTCTTCTCCTAAATAACCATTTCCTCGTGTTCCTAACACCATAGATTAGTTTTGTCTAAAACTTAAAAAAAAAAACAAAAACTGTAGGCTAATTAAAAATTTTAAAAGCGGTTTTAAAATTTGTAGATAAACACAGAATATGGAGCCAGAAGATATGGGTGTGATCTCTAATTCCTGGCTAAATAGTCCTGGATAATTCACTTCATTTCCTTAAGACTCAAGTTTTCTTTTCAGTAAAATGGTCGTAAAAATGCCTCATACCTCAAAATGTCCCACTGTTTCTCCAGACCTGTCTGACGACAAAAATCACCTAGACTAGTAGTTACACAACCCAGATTCTCCTAGAGCAGTGGTTCTTAAAGGATCAGCATCATCAGCAACACCTCAGAACTGTTAGAGATGTAAATTATTGAGCTCTTTCCCAGACTTCTTGAATCAGAAACTGGGGTGGTGGGGGGGTGGGGAGGCACAGCAGAAATCCATGTTTCAAAAAGCCCTCAAGTGATTATGATGTACACTATATAATTTTTAAAAATGGTACAACTTACTATTTGGACAAACTACAATTTAACTGATTCCATATTTAAGATTTTTAAACTATGTCAAATGTTTCATTACGATAAATATTATAATGAATATATTTATTCAAAAATTTTTATATTCAGTTCTTTAGAACAAATTCATAAAATCTATGTGGTGTCATCATCTAATTACTGGATCAAATAATGCAAACATTTCTAAGGCTCTTCTTCCAAACTGACTTCTAGAAAGATTTCTACAAATCATACTGTAACAGAAAAAATATTTTAAACTGAAAATATTAAGCTAGGTACTTAGCATTGTGCTATTGCTATTGGCTCCTAAAGCAACATATATACACTACACAGCACCTTTTGTACATAATTTTAATTCTTATTTGTGAGTCTTGCTGTTCAATAATGATAATAATGATAAATAGGCAAATTTATTAACGTACATATGTGCTAGACATATAAGCCTAAATTAATTTCTATTTAATCCCATGAAATCAATTATAAATCTTTCCTAGTCTAGAACAAACAGCATGCTTTCCTCATTATTTCTTTCTTTCATCATATTTAAAAATTCTTTCCATTCATACATTAAAAAAAATTAGTGTTAAATACATGTTCCTTATCAAGCTAAATATAGCCTTTCTGACTTACCTAAAATATCACTTTCATAATTATAGAATTTTAAAACCAAATTTTCAGGAAATAAAACCGAATTTTCAGATAATTATCAAATCAAAATTGTAATTTAGAATTTGTAGCCCCCATTTATAAATGAGGAAACTGAGGCACAAGAGTTTTTTTCTATGATCACACACCTGGAAAGTAGAAGAATGGGGATTTAAACCCATACAAGATATGAAACATTTGGGATATAACACTGTAAATTTAAATACAATTCCCTTATGAATAAAATTCACAAAAAATTAGTTGAAAAACAGGATATATTTAACATAGCTGCTCAAAGATTCTAATTACTATGAGAGAAAAAGAAAAAGTATAATTCTAGAAGAAATATAATGTTAGAAAAATATAGTACTCTTAATATTCTGAAAACAATATCAGAAAAAAGAACACTGAAAAATACAAATTTAGAGAAATAATGGATTTTTTCCTTTAAAAATTTTCATTGACATTAAAATATTCTCTCTACAAAGAACTTAAACAAATTTACAAGAAAAAAACAAACCCATCAAGAAGTGGGCAAAGGAAATGAACAGACACTTCTCAAAAGAAGATATTTATGCAGGCAACAAACATATGAAAAAAAGCTCATTATTACTGGTCATTAGAGGAATGCAAATCAAAATGACAATAGAATACCATCTCATGCCAGTTAGAATGGTGATCATTAAAAAGTCAGGAAACAACAGGTGCTGGAGAGGACGTGGAGAAATAGGAACACTTTTACACTGTTGGTGGGAGTGTAAATTAGCTCAACCATTGTGGAAGACAGAGTGGCAATTCTTCAGGGATCTAGAACTAGAAATACCATTTGATCCAGCAATCCCATTACTGGGTATATACCCAAAGGATTATAAATCATTCTCCTATAAAGACACATGCACATGTATGTTTATTGCAGTACTATTCACAATAGCAAAGACTTGGAACCAACCCAAATGTCCATCAATGATAAACTGGATAAAGAAAATGTGGCACATATACACCATGGAATACTATGCAGCCATAAAAAAGGATGAGATCATGTCCTTTTCAGGGACATGGATGAAGCTGGAAACTATCATTCTCAGCAAACTAACACAGGAACAGAAAACCAAACACTGCATGTTCTCACTCATAAGTGGGAGTTAAACAATGAGAACACATGGACACAGGGAGGGGAACATCACACACCAGGGCCTGTTGTGGGGTTGAGGGCTAGGGGAGGGATAGCATTAGGAGAAATACCTAACATAGATGATGGGTTGATGGGTGCAGCAAACCACCATGGCATGTGATACCTATATAACAAACCTGCACGTTCTGCACATGTATCCTAGAACTTAAAGTATAATTAAAAAAAAAAAAAAGAAAAAGAAAAAAAAGAAAGAAAAAATATTCTCATAAGAAAAAAACTCACGTCAAAATCTTTATGATTTTAATTAAACACATTTGTAACAACCAGTGAGGGTATTTGGCAAGTACGTTTCTAACAGTGAGGGTATTTATTACAAGTGTTGCTACCTGTAACGATTCTTATAAACTGTAAAAAATCATAATGTTACAATTTTATTATTTTGTTATCCATAAATAATGATTAACATGAATTTTTAAAAAGGTATGTTAATTCAGAATATAATTTTTAAAAATACATGTCACTCACTTGATTGGCTAGCTGCAATTGTTCTTGAAGGTTTCTGACTGTTTCATCATCTGCATATATGTCAGTTCCTACCTCTGTGCCCAGGGGAAAGGCCTCCAATTTTTTTTCAACAGCATCTTTTAATTCACTGTGCAACCTTTGAAACAAATAGTTAACATGATAGCCTCAAGTCATTTTCGTAACAGTAATTACTGTTTCGAGGTCAATTAAACATTTGGGTCAACAATAACTCTTTAAACAAAATCATTTTTAAGTAGACTTCAAATAAAAAATTAGAAGTGTTTAATTACCATTAAATACTGTGCTATAAGAATCAAAAGATTATATAACAATTTCAATGCATTAAATCGATCACAATTAACTGAAGCATGATTCAGTTTGTCCTAGAGAGGTTTCAATTTTTCAAAAATTTTCAAAAGAGTAAAATTCAGATATTATCTCTTATTAAATGATAAAATAAGCCATTCAGAAAAATTCTAAAATATCTATGTATATCTAGTCAATTAAATGAAAATTATATATTAAATCCTGTAGAATTATTTGCTATTTTCTTCAGCGTGTTTCACCAAACTCACTGGACTTCTTACTAATTCCAGTTAACAAGCAAAGAGAAGAAAATGGTCGCTGGCTATAAAACCAAGACATCAGAAGCTTTATTTTTCAGCACATCCTTATATAAGATCAACAATAATACTGAAAGGCTTAAAATTGACTTTAATCTTAACATTAAGGTAAATTACAGATATTTCATGCCTTAACTACAAAAAAAAGCAAGGAAGGTACAACTTAAAAGAATGATTGTTTTAATTTAAAATAATACATACTTAAGAGAAAAAAAGTACATTTTCAGAAAACACTCTTATTTCATATAATCATAAGCAGAAAATATTTATAGTAAATACATTACAAAGTGAAAATAACAAAATAAACTACATCCATCTACCTAAAACATTTAGAGGTGAATGATTTACTAATATTACAAATCTCCTTTGAAACAAGAAAACTTAAATCTTGATGTCAAAACATATTTATTGAAAACAAAATTCATCAAATACAATAAAACTGAGAAGGTAAACACTTTAGAAACAAAAAAATTAATTACTCTGAAGAAAGGACAGAGCTTGAAAATTATTCTCTAATTAAAAAACTTACAAGTATTGGTTAAGACAGTTTTTATTTTTAAATATCTAACAGTGTTTTTAAAAACTTTTATTTTTCCTATATGAAATGTTTACCTAATAGAGAAAATGATCAGTATAGAAATATAACAAGTTTTAGAAAAGATACCCCAAGTCCTATGAAAAAAACCATTATTAATTCTGTAATATATTTTCTAGCAGAATTTTTACTTTCCATTAAAAATAGACCAATGACATACTGTATTGCTAATACTATAATCTGTCTTTTTAACCGTAGTATTCAGACATATGCATTCTCTCACATTCTAAAAAGTTTTCTGCAAATATTTTAAAGATGACATAATATTCCATCATTTTCATCATATGGTTATCTGCATCATAACTTATCAATTATCCTAATCCTTTAAATTGATTGTAAAATGAAATGAAAAAATAGTAAAATTAATATTTAGTACACTGTACTTTAAAATATCAGAAACACTGAGAATTAAAGTGTCTTATTTCTTTGTTACGCAGCCAAAAGACACATGAAAAAATGCTCATCATCACTGGCCATCAGAGAAATGCAAATCAAAACCACAATGAGATATCATCTCACACCAGTTAGAATGGCAATCATTAAAAAGCCAGGAAACAACAGGTGCTGGAGAGGATGTGGAGAAATAGGAACACCTTTACACTGTTGGTGGGACTGTAAACTAGTTCAACTATTGTGGAAGTCAGTGTGGCAATTCCTCAGGGATCTAGAACTAGAAATACCATTTGACCCAGCCATTGCATTACTGGGTATATACCCAAAGGACTATAAATCATGCTGCTATAAAGACACATGCACACGTATGTTTATTGCGGCATTATTCACAATAGCAAAGACTTGGAACCAACCCAAATGTCCAACAATGATAGACTGGATTAAGAAAATGTGGCACATATACACCATGGAATACTATGCAGCCATAAAAAATGATGAGTTCATGTCCTTTGTAGGGACATGGATGAAATTGGAAATCATCACTCTCAGTAAACTATCGCAAGGACAAAAAACCAAACACCGCATATTCTCACTCACAGATGGGAACTGAACAATGAGAACACATGGACACAGGAAGGGGAACATCACACTCTGGGGACTGTTGTGGGGTGGGGGGAGGGGGGAGGGATAGCATTAGGAGATATACCTAATGCTAAATGACAAGTTAATGGGTGCAGCACACCAGCATGGCACAGGTATACATATGTAACTAACCTGCACATTGTGCACATGTACCCTAAAACTTAAAGTATAATAAAAAAAATTCATTTAATAAAAAAATGTAGTTATAACAAGCAGTATAATTATAACTGACAGTAAGACAGTTTTTAGGGTCTTAAAATTTTTAGCCAGGTTCGGTGGCTCACACCTGTAATCCCAGCATTTTGGTAGGCCGAAGTGGGTGGATCACGAGGTCAGGAGTTCGAGACCAGCCTGGCCAATGTGGTGAAACCCCGTCTCTACTAAAAATACAAAAATTAGCCGGGCATGGTGGCGTGTGCCTGTAGTCCCAGCTACTCAGGAGGCTGAGGCAGAAGAATTGCTTGAACCCAGGAGGCGGAGGTTGCAGTGAGTCAAGATCAAGCCACTGTACTCCAGCCTGGGCGACAGAGCAAGACTCTGTCTCAAAAAAAAAAAAAAAAAATTTAAAGGTCACAGAAATATCGTAATTGTCCCCCATTGATTATTAAGATAATTTTGTACAGTTTCAGCTTGCAAGGTCATTTTTTTAATCTTACACTTCATACAAAGGAAGGACTACCTATACATAGTTTAATTTTGTTTGCTTCAGTATCTGGCATACTTGGGGAATAGATGTCCAATCTTGCGTTTCTAATGCTTGCTGTCTCTCACCGAGTGTGCTCTGTTCCCGAGGTGTTATATGATTTTGGGTTTAGATTGCTGTTCTTTTTCTAACCTCTTCAACAAATTCTAAGACATCATTATTTTTAGACTTTCTTTTCTAATACATACTCTTAAGATTACAGCTTTCCCTCTAAGAATCGCCTTAGTGGCAACGCCGACGTTATGTTATTTTCTTTATTAATCAGTTGAAAATATTTTCTAACTTCCATTGTGAGTTCTTTGACCTGTGAGTAACATTTAGAGGCATACTGCTTAACTTAGAAAAAGCTGAGGATTTTCTAGTTACCTTTTTATTATTGATTTCTAGCATAATTTTCACTGTCATCAAAGAACATAATCTGAATAATTTCAATCCTTTTATAATCTGAGAGTTGCTTTTTTTTTGAGTTGGTCAATTTCAGAAAACTATCACGTGTACTTAGAGAATGCATATTTTGAAGGTCTTCGGTATTAGTATTCTATATATGTCCCTTAAGAGATTTCTTAATTGCATTATTCAAATATTGCATCTTAACTTACTGTTTTTTTTTCTGGTTGCTATTTTATTTACTGAGAGCAACCTGCTCATATTTCCTATTATAATGGTGCATTTGTCTGTTCTGCCATTCAGTGCTATCACATTTTTGTATTCTGAGTCTTTGTTATTGAGTGCTTACACATTCAGAACTGTCATATCTTTTGGGCAAATATAATTTCGTATCATTATGGAAACCGCCTTTTAATCTGTAATCATCTGTTTCACATTAAATTCTACTATGTCTGATATTACCAGCATGTTTTCAGTTAGCACTTCCATGGTATACATATTTTCTATCCTTTTATTTTCACCCATTCTGTACTCTTGTATTTTACGAATCTCCTTGGTTAAAAGCATGTAATTGTGGGTTCATTTAGTTAATCTCTGGTAAATCACTCTTAAAATTATAGCATGTAGTACAGCAAAATTTAATGCAATTACTAAGGCATCTGGGTTTATATCTACTACCTTAGTATTTCCTATATGTCTTGACTTTAAAAAAACAAAACAAAACACCTCTCTTTTTGTTCCTATTCTTTCTTATTAACTGGAATTAATTACATTTTATTATTCCACTTTCCTGCTCCATGAGCTTGGAAGTGATAGAATCTTTTAGTTTACTGTAGTGCTCAGCCCAGACATCGTAACATGCCTCTGAGAATTGCCACCCTCTACTATAAATTAGTATCCTATTTCTAATGGATAATGTAAGCACCTGAGACTATCTCAACTCCATTTACACTCTTCCTAAATGTACGGTATTGCTGGCTCATATTTCAAGTCTCCTCAAACATTTTAAAGCCATTATTATTATTTTTAAAAGTTTATACTCGTTAGATTTTCTCCCATATTTACCCCTTCCATAGTTCCAAACTTTATTCTAGGATGATTTTTCCTTCTTTTTTGGGATTTGGATTAATTCTGTCAACGGTAATTTTCTCAGTTTTCATCTGAAAATGTACTTATTTAACCCTCCTTCTTGAAGAACATTTCGCTGAGCACACAATTCTTAGTTGACAGTTTTGGTTTCTTTTCTTTTCAGCACTTTGAAGATATTCCATGTCTCTCGATTTCTATCACATCTGTTGAAAAGTCAGTTATCTTACTGCTATTCCTTTGAGGATAATCTCTGTTGTGAGAATTTTTCTTTGATTTTGATTTTGTAGATGTTTTTGCATTATCATGCTTGTGATGCATGGTGTTTCTTTAATCCACAGATCTTTTGCTACTTTTGAAATTTTTCAGCTATTGTCTCTTCAAATATTATTTCTGTCTTTCCTGTTCTCTCTGGGATTCAAATTACACGAATTTTAGTTCTTTTCACTACCACATTTTGTTCCATATTTTCTTTTTAAATTTTTTTGAATTTATTTTTTACTTAACTTTTAAGTTCAGGGGTACATGTACAGGTTTGTTATATAGGTAAGCTTGTGTCACTGAGGTTTGTTGTACAGATTATTTTCAACCCAAGTATTAAGCCTAGTACTCATTATTCTTTTTCCTGATCCTCTCCCTCCTCCCAGCCTCCACCCATTGATAGGCCCCAGTGTGTGTAGTTTCTCTCTACATGTCCATGTGTTCTCATCATTTAGCTCCCACTTATAAGTGAGAACATGAAGTATTTGCTTTTCTGTTTCTCTGTTAGTTTGCTAAGGATAATCACCTCCAGCTCCATCTATGTTCCTGCAAAGGACGTGATCTTGTTCTTTTTTATGGATGCATAGTATTCCATTGTATATATGTACCATATTTTCTTTATCCAGTCCACTGTTGATGGGCATCTAGGTTGATCTATGTCTTTGTCATTGTGAATAACTGTTCCGATGAACATGTGAGTGCATGTGTCTTTATGGTAGAATGATTTCTATTACTTCGTTATATATCCAGTGATGGGATTGCTGGGTTAAATGGCACTTCTGTTTTGAGTTCTTTGAGATCCAAGCCGGGCGCGGTGGCTCACGCCTATAATCCCAGCACTTTGGGAGGCCAAGGCAGGCAGATCATGAGGCAGATAGAGACCATCCTGGCTAACATGGTGAAATCCCATCTCTACTAAATAAATAAAAAAAAATTAGCCAGGCATGGTGGTGGGCACCTGTAGTCCCAGCTACTTGGGAGGCTGAGGCAGGAGAATGGTGTGAACCCAGGAGGCGGAGCTTGCAGTGAGCTGAGATCGCGCCACTGCACTCCAGCCTGGGCGACAGAGTGAGACTCTGTCTCAAAAAGAAAAAAAAAAAAAAAAGAATCCAAACTGCTTTCCACTAGTGGCTGAACTAGTTTCTGTTTCTACCAGCAGTGTAAAAGCATTCCCTTTTCTCTGCAACCATAACAGCATCTGTTATTTTTTGATGTTTTAACAGCCATTCTGACTGGCGTGAGATGGTATCTCATTGTGGTTTTGATTTGCATTTCTCTAATTAAGTTGAGCTTTTTTTCATATGGTTATTGGCCACATGTATGTCTTCTTTTGAAAGGTGTTCAAGTGCTTTGCCCATTTTTCAATAAGGTTTGATTTTTATTGTAAATTTAAGTTCCTTATAGATGCTGGATATTTGACCTTTGTCAGATGCAGTTTGCAAAAATGTTCCCCCACTTTGTATGTTGTCTGTGCACTCTGTTGATAGTTTCTTTTGCTGTGCAGGAGCTCTTTAGTTTAATTAGATCCCATTTGTCAATGTTTGCTTTTATTGCAATTGCTTTTGGTATCTTCTTAATAAAATCTTTGCCCACTCCTATGTCCAGAATGGTATTGCCTAAGTTGTCTTCCAGGGTTTTTATACTTTGGGGTTTTACATTTAAGTTTTTAATCCATCTTAAGTTAATGTTTGTTAATCTTCTGCACATGGCTAGCCAGTTATCTCAGCACCATTTATTGAATAGGAGTCCTTTCCCCATTGCTTGAGTTAGGTTTGTCGAGAATCAGATAGTTGTAGGTGTGTGGCTTTATTTCTGGGTTCTCTATTCTGTTGCAATGGTCTATGTGCCCGTTTTTGTACCAGTAGCATGCTGTTTTGGTTACTGTAGCCCTGCAGTATAGTTTGAAGTCAGGCAGCATGATGTCTCCAGCTTTCTTATTTTTGCTTAGGATTACCTTGGCTATCTGGACTCTTTTTTCGTTCCACATGAATTTTAAAATAGTTTTTTCTAGTTCTGTGAAGAATCTCAATGGTAGTTTAATAGGAATAGCATTAGATGTATAAATTGCTCTGGGCAGTATGACCATTTTTACAATATTGATGCTTTCTATCCATGAGCATGGAACATTTTTTCATTTGTTTGTGTAATCTTTGATTTCTTTGAGCAGTATTTTGTGCTTCTTGTAGAGAGATCTTTCACCTTCCTAGTTAGCTGTATTCCTAGGTAGTTTGTGTGTTTATTTATTTATTACAACTGGGAATGGGATTGCGTTACTCATTTGGCTCTTGGCTTGACTGTTTTTTTGTGTACAGGAGTGCTAGTAATTTTTACACATTGATTTTGTATCCTGAGAATTTGCTGAAGTTGTTTGTCAGTTTAAGAAGCTTTTATGCCAAGACTATGAAGTTTTATAGATATAGAATCCTGCCATCTGCAAATACGGATAGTTTGACTTCCTCTCTTCCTATTTGGATTACATTTCTTCCTCTTGCCTGACTGCCCTGGCCAGGACTTCCAATACTATGTCAAATAGGAGTGGCGAGAAAGGGCATCCTTGTCTTGTGCCAGTTTTCAGGAAGAATGTTTCCAGGTTTTGCACATTCCATATGATGCTGGCTGTGAGTTTTTCATAGATGACTCTTACTATTTTGAAGTATGTTCCTTCAATACCTAGCTTATTGAGACTTTTTGACATGAAGAATGTTAAATTTTAATGAAAGCCTTTTCTGCTTCATTTCAGATAATCATGTAGTTTTTGTCTTTAGTTCTGTTTATGTGATGAATCACATTTATTGATTTGCATATGATGAACCAACCTTGCATCCCAGGGCTAAAGCCTATTTGATCATGGTAGATAAGATTTTTGCTGTGCTGCTGGATTTCATTTGCCAGTATTTTGTTGAGGATTTTTGTCTCTATGTTCATCAGGGATATTGGCCTGAAGTTTTCTTTTTTGTTGTATCTTTGTTAGGTTTTGGTATCAGGATGATGTTGGCCTCATAAAATGAGTTTTATGGTCTGTTGCATTGGTCTATGTGCCTGTTTTTGTACCAGTACCATGCTGTTTTGGTTACTGTAGCCCTGAAGTATAGTTTGAAGTTGGGCAGTGTGATGTCCCCAGCTTTCTTCTTTTTGCTTAGGAATACCTAAGCATTTTTTTTTTGGAATAGTTTCAGTAGAAGTGGTACCAGCTCTTTGTATATTTGGTAGAATTTGGCTGTGAACTTATCTGGTCCTGGGCTTTTTTGGTTCATAGGCTATTTATTACTGCCTCAATTTCAGAACTCATTACTGGTCTGTTCAGTAATTCAATTTCCTCCTGGTTTAGTCTTAGGAGGGTGTATGTGTCTAGAAATTCATCCATTTCTTCTAGATATTCTAGTTTATGTGCATAGAGGTGTTCATAATATTATTTGATGGTTGTTTGTATTTCTGTGGGGTCAGTGGTAACATCTCCTTGTCATTTCTGATTGTGTTTATTTGAATCTTCTCTCTTTTCTTCTTTATTAGTCTAGCTAATGGTCTATTTTATTAATTTTTCCAAAAAACCAGCTTCTGTGTTCTTTGATCTTCTGGATGTTTTTTTGTGTCTGAATCTCCCTCAGTTCAGCTCTGATTTTGGTTATTTCTTGTCTTTTGCTAGCTTTGGAATTTGTTTGCTCTTGGTTCTGTAGTTCTTTTAGTTGTGATGTTAGGTTGTTAACTTGAGATCTTTCTAACTTTTTGATGTGAGCACTTAGTGCTATAAATTCCCTCTTAACACTGCCTTAGCTGTGTCCCAGAGATTCTGGTATGTTGTATCTTTGTTCTCATTAGTTTCAAAGAACTTGATTTCTGCCTTAATTTCATTATTTACCCAAACGTCATTCAGGAGTAGGTTATTCAACTTCCATGTAATTGTATGGTTTTGAGCAAATTTCTGTTTTGGCTTCTAATTTGTGCTGTGGTTTGAGAGATTGTTATGATTTCTGTTCTTTTGCATTTGCTGAGGAGTGTTTTACTTCTGATTACGTGATTGATTTTAGAACATGTGCCATGTGGTGATGAGAAGAATGTATATTCTGTTGTTTTTGGATGGAGAGTTATATAGATGTCTCTCAGGTCCATTTGATCCACTGTTGGGTTCAGGTCCTGAATATCTTTGTTAATTTTCTCTCTTGATGATTGGTCTAATATTTTCAGTGTGGTGTTAAAGACTTCCACTACTATTGTATGGGAGTCTATGTCTCTTTGAAGGTCTCTAAAAACTTGCTTTACAAATCTGCGTGCTCCTGTGTTGGGTACATATATATTTAGGATAGTTAGATCTTCTTGTTGAATTGAATTGAACCTTTTACCATTATGTAATGCCATTTCTTTTTTTTTTTTGCTCTTTTTGGCTTTTGTCAGAAACTAGGATCGTAACCCCTACTTTTTTTCTGTTTTCCATTTGCTTAGTAAATCTTCCTCCATCCTTTTGAGTCCATGTTTGTCACTGCATGTGAGATAGGACTCTTAAAGACAGCATACCAACGGGTTTTGCTTCTTTATTCAGTTTGCCATTCTGTGTCTTTTTTTGCTTTTTAACTTTTATTTTAGTTTTGGGGTACATGTGAAGGTTTGTTACATAGGTAAATGGATGTCACAGGGGTTTGTTGTACATATTATTTCATTACCCAGGTATTAAGCCCAGTATCCAGTAGTTATCTTTTCTGCTCCTCTCCCTCCTCCCACCCTCTCCTTTCAAGTAGATCCCAGTGTCTGTTGTTTCCCTCTTTGTGCTTGTAAGTTCTTACCATTTAGCTCCCACTTATAAGTGAGAACACGCGGTATTTGGTTTTCTGTTCCTGCGTTAGTTTGCTAAGGTTGTGCCTTTTAATTGAGGCATTTAGCCCATTTACATTCAAGGTTGGTATTGATATGTATGGATTTGATCCTGTCATCGTGTCAGCTGGTTATTTTGCAGACTTGTTTATGTGGTTGCTTTACAGTGTCACTGGTCTGTGTACTTCAGTGTATTTTTGTAGTGGGTGATAATGATCTTTCCTTTCTGTATTTAGTGCTACCTTCAGGTGCTCTTGTAAGGCAGGTCTGGTAGTAATGAAATTCCTCAGCATTTGCTTGCCTGAAAATGATCTTATTTCTCCTTCGCTTATGAAGTTTGGTTTGGCTGGATATTAAATTCTGGCTTGGAATTTCTTTTGAGAATGTTGACCATTGGCCCCCAATTGCTTCTGGCTTGTAGGGTTTCTGCTGAGAGGTCTGCTCTTAGTCTAATGATCTTCCCTTTGTAGGTGACCTCATCTTTCTCTCTAAGATGTCTTTAAAATTTTTTGTTTCATTTTGACCTTGTAAAATCTGATGATTATGTGTCTTGCGGATGATCTTCTTCTAACTTATCTAACTAGGGTTCTCTACATTTCCTGAATTTGAATGTTACCCTCTCAAGCTAGGTTGGGTAAGTTCTAATGGATGGTATTCTGAAATGTGTTTTCCAAGTTGCTTCCCTTCTCCCCATGTCTTTCAGGGATGCCTATGAGTCATAGATTTGGTCTCTTTACATAATCCCATATTTCTTGGAGGTTTTGTTCACTCCTTTTCATTCTTTTATTTCTATTCTTGTCTGATTGTCTTGTTTCAGAAATCCAGTCTTCAAACTCTGAGATTCTTTCCTCCACTTGATCTATTCTGCTTTTAATACTTGTGATTGCATTATAAAATTATTGTAGTGTCTTTTTCAGTTCTATCAGGTCAGTTGGTTTTTTTCTATACTGGCTATTTTTGCTGGGCAGCTCCTGCATTGTTTTATCATCGTTCTTAGCTTCCTTGGATGGGTTTCAACATACTCCTGTAGCTCAATGATCTTCGTTTCATGCATATTCTGATTTCTATTTCTGTCATTTGTAGCCATCTTAGTCCAGTTCTGAACCCTTTCTGTATAGGCAATGGGGTAGATTAGAGGAAAAAAGGCACTGTGGCTTTTTGAGTTGTCAGGATTCTTGCACTGATTCTTTCTCATCTTTGTGGGTTTATCCACCTTCAATCTTTGAGGCTGCTGACCTTTCGAGGCTTTTGTTCTCTTTTATCCTATTTGATGACCTTGAGGGTTTGATTATCATATAGGGTAGATTTAGCTGACTGGCTTCATTTCTGAAAGACATTAGGGGACCAATGCTCAGCTCCTGACTTCTGGACTGTATGCTCTAACCCTGGGGATTTGTATTGGGCCCTGACATTGTTCTCTCACTCCATGAGGTTAGAAATCCACTGTGCTGCGAGCACCAGGTGCTTCTGGACCACTGGTCACTACATTCCAATGTGTAGTGTCAGCCAAAGTGTTTCATAGTGCAGTGACAGAGGGATCTGTCCTCATTCACATGTGCCAGCAATAGCAGTAGCAGCAGCTGTGGCAGAGTGCTAGTGGCTGCTGGGGTGCCTGCCTCCCTGTGGGAATTAACCACAGTGGCAGAGGCAACTCATCTGGGATGGGTGTGGGGGGCCCCTACTGGTGACTACGTGGGTGGTCGTGCAGGTGGTGGTGCTGGCTTCAGGGAGGGGCACTGGTAGGCACAGGTCTGTGTGCCTTCTCTGTGGTAGCTCAGTGTGGGGGAGGATCTGCTGTTCTCTGAGCCTAGTTTTTCTCCCATGGAAGTATTAGTGCAACAGTGGAGTGCTGGCAGGGTGGGACTGGCTGGCTCTGTTCCCACCAAGGCTCTGTCTGCAATGGTGGTCAGCTACCAGAGGGGAGTGGACTACACTCCCATGTGCTAGTGGGGCAAGGAAAGCAAAACCTGCCCGCACAGACATGTATCAGCAAAGAGATGTGGGGAGTTGCCATGGGTCCAGGGGTGGCTGCAGTGTGTGGAGGGAGTGTGCAGGCTAGTGTATGGTTATTGGGACCACTCTGCTGGAGATCTCTGCAAGTCAGGCACGGTCCACTAGCACACAAGCTATGATGTGGCTCCCAGGGCACCTGAGGCTGTTCTTTAAGCAGGCATGGCCAGGCTGGGGCCCCAGGAGAGGGCAGCAGACCAAGGGGAGCTCAAGTTGGACTGGCCCTATCTGAGCTGGGGCAAGTCCACCCTGCAGAGTTCAGGATGAACAGTTCCCCTAGGGCTTAAGTCTCCTAAGAGAGCAAGTTGAGCCTAAGGAAATGGCTGTCCCTGGCCATGCTCCACTACATATGCTCCTGCACCAAACCCTCTGGGATCCACATGAGCTGGCTTGCTGCCCCTACCACTTCTCTAGGAATCTCTCCCTGCCAACTCAAGTGTCTACGATGGTTGAAGGGTCTCTCTCCTCCTGCTAGGGTTCCAGAGGCCCATGCTCCTTGAAAATTCAACTCACCCATTCCCCCGGAGCCACCAGAGACCAGGAATGAGTCCAGTTTTCTCCCACTTCATTCCAGCTTCTGTGTCTTCCCTCCATCCACTCTCAGTGCCTTCCTTCTGAGAATCTGTTAGGAGTACGCCAGTCATCTCCATCCATCAGTGGCAGCTGCTCCACCTAGCTGCATCTAGTTGGCTATCATACAGGTTTATATTTTCTATCTTCTTGTCTCTCTGCTTCTTACTGATATTCAGTTAAAATATTTCTTCTAAATTAAGTTGCACTTGATTAATTATCTTGTTATGTCTCATTTCCATTGTATTTTTTCAGTTCTAGAATGTTTTTTTTTAGAGTTTCTAGTTCTCTTACAAAATTCTCAATATTGTATCTTATTTCACTGACCATATTAAGCAAAATTATTTATTATTTTAGTTTTATCTTATTTTAAGATCTGGGATACACACGCAGGATGTGCAGGTTTGTTACACAGGTAAATGTGTGCCATGGTGGTTTGCTGCACCTATCAACTATCACCTAGGTATTAAGCCCTACATGCATTAACTATTTATCCTGATGCTTTCCTCCCCCATCCCCCCATACAGGCCCCAGTGTGTTGTTCTGCTCCCTGTGTCCATGTATTCTCATTGTTCAGCTCCCACTTATGAGTGAGAACACGTGGTGTTTAGTTTTCTGTTGGTAAAGCAGTTTTTTAAAGGCCAACCCTGTGGATCTGTTTTTACTGCCTATTATTTCTAATGATTCTTTTAAAATGTTACCATGTTAGCGTCAATCTTCCTGTTCCTAATTCTTTTTGTGCTAGATATGAGCTAGATATTATACATTTAAAAGTACAGTGGCATTTTGAGGATCCTAACACACCTATCCACAAGTGTGATGGATGCTGAATTTCAATTTTTATTGTTCTAGCTCTGTAAATTTGTTTCAAGCTCACCTCAGTTTTTAAACCTCTCTCCATCTCTTCTTGGATAGTGACATGCAATTAGGGAAAGCAGCCCCAAATGCCGGCTTATATCCCTGGATTTCTTTCTATTCCTGGCCTTTGCCTTATAAGTTTTTCACAGATTCCAATTTCTTTAAACAGATTCGATTTTTGTTAAGATTTTGTCAAGATTTTATAGTTTTGTCTGAACTTTCTAGTTTTTCTCAGAAGAAGCCTGATTACAGTACCTACTCTGTCATTAATGTAAACAATATTGATTTATTTATTTTCAATTTTACTTTTCTATTAGTTAAAAATGACAAAGTGTTCTGCATACCATTTTGGCTGCACCTTACTAGTTTGATATGCTGCTCATTTTAAGTAGTTTTTAATTTTAGTTGTCAATTCATTTTTTTAATCTCAGGAGTTACTTGAAAATATAGCTTAAAAATTTTTATGTGCTCATCTTTTGTCATTTTTTATTTTATTGCAGATGAAATTTATGTGTTTTTTTGTGGGGGGGGAATTTGTATGTGTGTATGTGGTAGGGAGGGTTTTCAGTGCATATCTATGTTTGTGAGTTTTTCATGGGTCTTTGAAAAACAAAGTATATTCCTGTTGGTTAATATATGAGTGTGTATAAACAGAAATGTACATGTACATAATCAAACTTGTTATTTGCTCCTTATATCATCTATCTTTGCTTATTTTCTTGTTTTCTTTTAAATATAACAGTTGTAATAATATATTTGTAAATAAATACAGATCAAATGAATTTTATCTGATTTTCCAACATATTGGCAGTATAATTAAGAAAATCAGTTAAGTACCCTAAAGGTTTAAGAAATCACTTAAAGCATTATTTTTTATGTATGGTTAAACATCTTGAAAATTAAATATCAACAATTCAAGCTCAACAAATATCTAAAAAAATATTATATGCAAGATAGTAAGACAATTTTGGTTCCAGTTGTATTTATTAAAATACATAAGCAAGTCAAAATGTAAGAGCCAAAGGAAAATAAAAAAGAGAAAGTACTATTATATTTGGTTGGCTTGATATTAAGAAGAGAAATTAAATAAAACGTTTTGGAGGCAAACAGTGTTATCTGTATTATTAATAACACTAATAGCACCATATATCTCTGCATAACTTCTTTTCTGCTATCACTATCAATTAGCTGATCTCTATGTTCCAGTGTAAGTTCTGGAAAAAAAGTCAATCTTACTGATTTAGCTAATTGTAGAAATGGTTTGCTACATTGGTCACAATTAGGAAACTGGACAATCAGGAAGCAGCTATATCTACTGCTGGTTCTAGAATCACATCCCTTTGCTGAGATCCTGAGACCAGAATGTTATTGCCAGAGCTGCTGCCTGCAGCAACACCCTGCCTTAGCTTTGACAGAAGTGACTGCCAGAATTGTTGGCTCTACAGCCATACTACGCTTCTTAGATTCTTAGCCACAAAATAGATGCCTCAGGCACTGCCTTTTCTCCCACTATTTCCCAATTTAGGTATCGTACAAGTGGTTATCATTAGCAGAACCAAACCCATATCCTGAACTAGTTTTTAGTTTTCCAGCCTCTGCAATACAGGAAGGCATATTAAAAGGAAGGTGCAACAGATGTTAAGCCAATCTATCATATTTGCCACAACCTGTTATTATAATTGCACAATTTAATTACGTATGCCTCAAAGTAATAAATAAAAGTATAAAGAGTTAGTTTTTCTGTAACACCTAAACTGAATGTGAAAGGCCCAGCACAGATGTGTTTTTAAATTCACTGCTATTTAATTAGAGGTAGGTAAGGTAATTATAAAAAGTCAGAAAAACTATAAAACCATAGAAGATTGAAAGGAGATCAAAATGATCTCTCAGTTCTCACTCTTCTTCAAAGAAATTTAAACTGGAAATTATAAAGAATGAGTTAAACATATATAGTTTATGCATGAAAGATAACAGAAAACTACAATTAATAGACTCGCTCAAAGTAAAGACCTTGGCATTATACCAAATAATTAAAAAATAAATTTACATTTATATTAAGTCAAAGTCAAATATTTTTAAAGTATGTATTTTTTATGATTCCTTATTTTACTAACTCTCAATCAACAGACCAACTACTAAGTTAGAAGGTAAGGGAGCTTCTATTATATGTTATGCCAGGTACAACACGAGTAACACAAAAAAGAAACAGGTTGCCCAACCTTAGTGTTGACTATTTTGCTGGAGAAAAGACATTTCTGATTAAATTTTTTAAAAAGAAAATAAATATTGTCCTATCAGATAGTGCTTTTAAATTAAATTTACATAAATAGCTATGCTTTTATAGTTATTCTTTATGGTTTTTATTATTTTTCTGGCTTACCACTTGTAGTATCATTTCAAAAGATTTAAAGAGCACTTACTATAAGAATATAAAACAATAAAACTGAAATCATATAGTCCAAGACTTTAATTTTATATATTAAAAAACTGAGTTCCATATAAATTCAGGTACTAATACCAAGAAAATTACCCAGGCAGGGACTGCAGTAATAAAGTCATAACCAATTATTCCAAACAGACAATAAAATGTTGGCAAAGATCATCTTTATAAAAGTTTTGATCTTTTAGGTGACAAAGATGAATCAAACACAATGTCTGTATTTCTTTGAATTGAATTTGTCTCCAACAAAAGATGCACCATTCTTTTACATACCATTAAAAAGAAAAATTGCTGCCTATTAACCTTTGACAAGCCATTGAATATGGCTGCATCTCACTTTTGCAGGTGTTAAAAGGTGGGAAAAGGGGGATAGTTAGTGAATTTTAGAATCAAATAAGATAGAAGAGAGAGTCAGACAAATATAGTGGCATATATGCCACTATATGCATATATAACCACTATGGTTAATTCCCATAGGAAGGCAGGCACCCCAGCAGCCATTTGCACCCTGCCACAGCTGCCGCTATATTTTTGTGTATTTTTTTATATAAATGAAAAAAAAAAAACCATTCTAGACAACTGGCTGGTATGACTCTCCAGATGCCTCACCTCACCTGACAGATTTCACTAATCCAAGCCTCCTTGGTGAAAATAGCCACACCACTGCCACAGTGCAGCATTTCTTTTTGGGATTAATACAAAAGATCCTAAAAACTAGAATTGTTGTTTCCTTTTTTATGCTCCTCCAATTAATCATACACATTTTTTTTTTTCCTATCTGGTATTCTCCAGTTCTAAAGTGCAACTAGAAATAATCCTTCTAAAGTTGCACCCCTTCCTCTGTTTAAAATCCCTGAAGAACTCTCCATGTGATCTGCAGGAAAACGTCAATTCCTTAAGCAGAGAATATAAAATTTTATATCATCTGGTCCCTACCCGCCATGTGGGTCTCATCCTGCATAATTCCCTTACATATGTTGAGACACAGCCATATTACATGGCCTGAATGTATTAGACATATAAGGTTTTATTCAGTTATCTGTTACTTATCCTACTTTCTGAAAATCATTGAGAATGAAATTCTACTTCTTCTGACTGAGCTCAAATTTTACCCACTCATTTAAGCCTTCTTTGATGTCTAAAGCCAAAGTAAGGTCCTCCATAAATACACTCTTATATATATACTGGATATGTTACAGTCATGGTATCTGCCATGCCCAGACTTAAGTAGCCTTTGCCCAGAGCCCATGGCTCTGGGGATAGCATGCACTATTCTGTGCACAGACAGAAGCCAATGATTAGATTATAATTTTGCATATTTTCTGAGGGCAGTCCTATCAACAGCTGACTGGTATAAAGAGCTTTGACAAATACAAGTGATGGCAATTAGCTAAACCAACAAGACTGGATTTCTTCGGGATTTGGACTAGAGAAGAGAGAGAATCAGTCTTTTGGCTGGAAAAGAAGAAGGAGCAGCTACATAGAGGGGTACCACCATAGTGGAGACTATAAGGCCATATGAACTGGTAAGAGGAACACACCTGTAGATACATTCAGGTTTCCCAGTTCTAGTTAAAATTCCACGTATATACTTATCATATATTCCTTATTACTTAAAATGACTCAAGCCTCTGTTTTTTACAGCAAAAAGATCCAGGTATGAATATATGTATATGTTTACATTTTTAATACATGAAATCATTCCTTCAATATTTATTGAGCAGTTTAATGTATACCAAGCACTGTTCAGTGGTGGTAGGTATAGAGTGGTAGAAGAGACAAGGGTCCTGCTCTCACACATTCTAGTGGAAAAGACAAATAATAAGCAAGAAGATAAATAATTTCAGGTAGTAAATAGCCAAACAGGAACAGCTCCGGTCTGCAGCTCCCAGCAAGACCAACGCAGAAGGAAGATGATTTCTGCATTTCCAACTGAGGTACTCAGTTCATCTCATCGGGACTGGTTAGGCAGTGGGTCCAACCCATGGAGGATGAACAGAAGTAGGGTGGGGTGTCGCTTTACCCAGGAAGTGCAAGGAGTCAGGGAACTCCCTCCCACAGCCAAGGAAAGCTGTGAGGGACTGGTTACTATGCTTTTCCCACGGTTTCTGCAATCTGTAGATCAGGAGATTCCCCCGTGTGCCTAAACCACCAGGGCCCTGAGTTTCAAGCACAAAACTGTGTGGCTGTTTCATACCCCAGTGGCGCCTGGAACGAGAGTGAGACAGAACCGTTTGCTCCCCTGGAAAGGGGGCTGAAGCCAGGGAGCCAAGTGGTCTTGCTCGGCGGGTCCAACTCCCATGAAACCCAGCAAGCTAAGGACCACTAGCTTGAAATTTTGGTGCAAGCACAGCAGTCTGAAGTCCACCTGATATGATCAAGCTTGGTTGCGGGAGGGGCATCCGCCATTACTGAGGCTTGAATAGGCAGTTTTCCCCTGACAGTGCTGAGGCTGGGAAGTCTGGGCTGGGCGTGGCAAAGTGGCTGTGGCCAGACCACTTCTCTAGATTCCTCCTAATTGGGCAGGACATCTCTGAAAGAAAGTTAACAGCCCCAGTTAGGGCCCTACAGACAAAATCCCCATTGCCCTAAGGAAGGGGCGGCTGTGGGCACAGCTTCAGCAGATTTAATCGTTCCTGCCTGCCGGTTGTGAAGAAAGCAGCTGATCCTGACAAGAGGGATTCTCCCAGCACAGCGCACCAGCTCTGCTAAGGGACAGACTATCTCAAGTGGGTCCCTGACTCCCATGCCTCCTGACAGGGAGAAACCTCCCAACAGGGGCTGACAGACATCTCATATAGGAGAGCTCCAGCTGGCATCAGGCCGGTGACTCTCTGGGATGGAGCAGGTAGCAATTTTTGCTGTTCTGCACCCTCCACTAGAGATACCCAGGCGAACAGGTCTGGAGTGGACCTCCAGCAAACTGCAGCAGAGCTGCAGAAGAGGGGCCTGTTAGAAGAAAAACTAACAAACAGAAAGCAACAACATCAACATAAAAGACCCCCCCACAAAAAGCCCCATCCAAAGCTCATCAGCCTCAAAAATCAAAGGTAGATAAATCCATGAAGATGAGGAAAAATCAGTGCAAAAACGCAGAAAATTCCAAAAACCAGAATGCCTCTTCTGCTCCAAATGATTGCAACTCCTCTCCAACAAGAGCACAAAACTGGACAAAGAATGAGGTTAAAGAATTGACAGAAGTAGGCTTCAGAAGGTGGGTAATAAAAAAACTCCTCTGCGTTAAAGGAGCATGTTCTAACCCAATGCAAGGAAGCTAGGAACCTTGACAAAAGTTTACAGGAACTGCTAACTAGAATAACCAGTTTAAAGAGGAACATAAATGACTTGATGGAGCTGAAAAACACAGCACGAGAACTTAGTGAAGCATACAAAAGTATCAATAGCCAAATCGATCAAATGGAAGAAAGGACATCACATCTGAAGATCAATTTACTGAAATAAAATCTGAAGGAAAGATTAGAGAAAAAAGCATGAAAAGGAATGAACAAAGACTCCAAGAAATATGGGACTATGTGAAAAGACCAAACCTACGACTGACTGGGGAACCTGAAAGTGACAGGGAGAATGGAACCAAGTCAGAAAACACTCTTCAGGATATCATCCAGGAGAACTTCCCCAACCTAGCAAGGCAGGCCAACATTCAAATTCAGGAAATGCGGAGAACACCACTAAGATACTCCTTGAGAAGAGCAACCCTAAGTCACATAATCATCAGATTTTCCAAGGTTGAAATGAAGGAAAAAATGTTAAGGGCAGCCAGAGAGAAAGGTCAGGTTACCTACAAAGGGAAACTCATTAGACTAACAGCAGATCTCTCTGCAGAAATCCTACAGGCCAGAACAGACTGGGGGCCAATATCCAACAATCTTAAAGAGAATAATTTTCAACCAAAAATTTCATACCCAGCCAAACTAAGCTTCACAAATGAAGGGGAAATAAAATCATTTAAAGACAAGCAAATGCTGAGGTATTTTGTCACCACCACATCTGTCTTCCAAGAGCTCCTGAAGGAAGCACTAAATATGGAAAGGAAAAACCAGTACCAGCCACTGCAAAAACACAATAAAATATAAAGACCAATGACACTATGAAGAAACTGCCTTAACTAATGTGCAAAATATCCAGCTAGCATCATGGCGACAGGATCAAATTCACACACAACAATATTAACCTTAAATGTAAATGGGCTAAATGCCCCAATTTAAACACACAGACTGGCAAATAGGATAAAGAGTCAAGACCCATTGGTGTGCTGTATTCAGGAGACCTATCTCACGTGTAAAGACACACATAGGCTCAAAATAAAGGGATGGAGGAATATTTACCAAGCAAATGAAAAGCAAAAAAAAGCAAAGGTTGTAATCCTAGTCTCTGATAAAACAGACTTTAAACCAACAGAGATCAAAAAAGACAAAGAGGGTGGAGCCAAGATGGCCGAATAGGAACAGCTCGGGTCTACAGCTCCCAGCGTGAGCAACGCAGAAAACGGGTGATTTCTGCATTTCCATCTGAGGTACTGGGTTCATCTCACTAGGGGGTGCCAGACAGTGGGTGCAGGACAGTGGGTGCAGTGCACTGTGTGCGAGCTGAAGCAGGGCGAGGCATTGCCTCACTCGGGAAGCGCAAGGGGTCAGGGAGTTCCCTTTCCTAGTCAAAGAAAGGGGTGACAGACTGCACCTGGAAAATCGGGTCACTCCCACCCTAATACTGCGCTTTTCCGACGGGCTTAGAAAATGGCACACCAGGAGATTATATCCCGCACCTGGCTTGGAGGGTCCTACGCCCACGGAGTCTCGCTGATTGCTAGCACAGCAGTATTGAGATCAAACTGCAAGGCGGCAGCGAGGCTGGGGGAGGGGCGCCCGCCATTGCCCAGGCTTGCTTAGGTAAACAAAGCAGCCGGGAAGCTCGAACTGGGTGGAGCCCACCACAGCTCAAGGAGGCCTGCCTGCCTCTGTAGGCTCCACCTCTGGGGGCAGGGCACAGACAAACAAAAAGACAGCAGTAACCTCTGCAGACTTAAATGTCCCTGTCTGACAGCTTTGAAGAGAGCAGTGGTTTTCCCAGCACACCGCTGGAGATCTGAGAACGGGCAGACTGCCTCCTCAAGTGGGTCTCTGACCCCTGACCCCTGACCCCTGAGCAGCCTAACTGGAAGGCACCCCCAAGTAGGGGCAGACTGACACCTCACATGGCCGGGTACTCCTCTGAGACAAAACTTCCAGAGGAACGATCAGGCAGCAGCATTCGCGATTCACGAAAATCTGCTGTTCTGCAGCCACTGCTGCTGTTACCCAGGCAAACAGGGTCTGGAATGGACCTCTAGGAAACTCCAACAGACCTGCCGCTGAGGGTCCTGTCTGTTAGAAGGAAAACTAACAAACAGAAAGGACATCCACACCAAAAACCCATCTGTACATCACCATCATCAAAGACCAAAAGTAGATAAAACCACAAAGATGGGGAAAAAACAGAGCAGAACAACTGGAAACTCTAAAAAGCAGAGCGACTCTCCTCCTCCAAAGGAACGCAGTTCCTCACCAGCAACGGAACAAAGCTGGACAGAGAATGACTTTGACGAGTTGAGAGAAGAAGGCTTCAGATGATCAAACTACTCCGAGCTACAGGAGGAAATTCAAACCAAAGGCAAAGAAGTTAAAAACTTTGAAAAAAATTTAGATGAATGTATAACTAGAATAACCAATACAGAGAAGTGCTTAAAGGAGCTGATGGAGCTGAAAACCAAGGCTCGAGAACTACGTGAAGAATGCAGAAGCCTCAGGAGCCGATGCGATCAACTGGAAGAAAGGGTATCAGTGATGGAAGATGAAATGAATGAAATGAAGCGAGAAGGGAAGTTTAGAGAAAAAAGAATAAAAAGAAACAAACAAAGCCTCCAAGAAATATGGGACTATGTGAAAAGACCAAATCTACGTCTGATTGGTGTACCTGAAAGTGACGGGGAGAATGGAACCAAGTTGGAAAACACTCTGCAGGATATTATTCAGGAGAACTTCCCCAATCTAGCAAGGCAGGCCAACATTCACATTCAGGAAATACAGAGAACACCATAAAGAAACTCCTTGAGAAGAGCAACTCCAAGACACATAATTGTCAGATTCACCAAAGTGGAAATGAAGGAAAAAATGTTAAGGGCAGCCAGAGAGAAAGGTCGGGTTACCCACAAAGGGAAGCCCATCAGACTAACAGCGGATCTCTTGGCAGAAACGCTACAAGCCAGAAGAGAGTGGGGGCCAATATTCAACATTCTTAAAGAAAAGAATTTTCAACCCAGAATTTCATATCCAGCCAAACTAAGCTTCATAAGTGAAGGAGAAATAAAATCCTTTACAGAAAAGCAAATGCTGAGAGATTTTGTCACCACCAGGCCTGCCCTAAAAGAGCTCCTGAAGGAAGCACTAAACATGGAAAGGAACAACCGGTACCAGCCACTGCAAAATCATGCCAAATTGTAAAGACCATCGAGGCTAGGAAGAAACTGCATAAACTAACGAGCAAAATAACCAGCTAACATCATAATGACAGGATCAAATTCACACATAACAATATTAACTTTAAATGCAAATGGACTAAATGCTCCAATTAAAAGACACAGACAGGCAAATTGGATAAAGAGTCAAGACACATCAGTGTGCTGTATTCAGGAAACCCATCTCACGTGCAGAGACACACATAGGCTCAAAATAAAAGGATGGAGGAAGATCTACCAAGCAAATGGAAAACAAAAAAAGGCAGGGCTTGCAATCCTAGTCTCTGATAAAACAGACTTTAAACCAACAAAGATCAAAAGAGACAAAGAAGGCCATTACATAATGGTAAAGGGATCAATTCAACAAGAAGAGCTAACTATCCTAAATATATATGCACCGAATACAGGAGCACCCACATACATAAAGCAAGTCCTGAGTGACCTACAAAGAGACTTAGACTCCAACACAATAATAATGGGAGACTTTAACACCCCACTGTCAACATTAGACAGATCAACGAGACAGAAAGTTAACAAGGATATCCAGGAATTGAACTCAGCTCTGCACCAAGCAGACCTAATAGACATCTACACAACTCTCCACCCCAAATCAACAGAATATACATTATTTTCAGCACCACACCACACCTATTCCAAAATTGACCACATACTGGGAAGTAAAGCTCTCCTCAGCAAATGTAAAAGAACGGAAATTATAACAAACTGTCTCTCAGACCACAGTGCAATCAAACTAGAACTCAGGACTAAGAAACTCACTCAAAACCACTCAACTACATGGAAACTGAACAACCTGCTCCTGAATGACTACTGGGTAAATAATGAAATGAAGGCAGAAATAAAGATGTTCTTTGAAACCAACGAGAACAAAGACACAACATACCAGAATCTCTGCGACATATTCAAAGCAGTGTGTAGAGAGAAATTTACAGCACTAAATGCCCACAAGAGAAAGCAGGAAAGATCCAAAATTGACACCCTAACATCATAATTAAAAGAACTAGAAAAGCAAGAGCAAACACATTCAAAAGCTAGCAGAAGGCAAGAAATAACTAAGATCAGAGCAGAACTGAAGGAAACAGAGACACAAAAAACCCTTCAAAAAATTAATGAATCCAGGAGCTGGTTTTTTGAAAGGATCAACAAAATTGATAGACCGCTAGCAAGACTAATAAAGAAGGAAAGAGAGAAGAATCAAATAGACGCAATAAAAAATGATAAAGGGGATATCACCACTGATCTCACAGAAATACAAACTACCATCAGAGAATACTACAAACACCTCTATGCAAATAAACTAGAAAATCTAGAAGAAATGGATAAATTCCTCGACACATACACCCTCCCAAGACTAAACCAGGAAGAAGTTGAATCTCTGAATAGACCAATAACAGGCTCTGAAATTGTGGCAATAATCAATAACTTACCAACCAAAAAGAGTCCAGGACCAGATGGATTCACAGCCGAATTCTACCAGAGGTACAAGGAGGAACTGGTACCATTCCTTCCGAAACTATTCCAATCAATAGAAAAGGAGGGAATCTTCCCTAACTCATTTTATGAGGCCAGCATCATCCTGATACCAAAGCCAGGCAGAGACACAACCAAAAAAGAGAATTTTAGACCAATATCCTTGATGAACACTGATGCAAAAATCCTCAATAAAATACTGGCAAACCGAATCCAGCAGCACATCAAAAAGCTTATCCACCATGATCAAGTGGGCTTCATCCCTGGGATGCAAAGCTGGTTAAATATACGCAAATCAATAACAAAGACAAAAACCACATGATTATGTCAATAGATGCGGAAAAGGCCTTTGACAAAATTCAACAACGCTTCATGCCAAAAACTCTCAATAAATTAGGTATTGATGGGACGTATCTCAAAATAATAAGAGCTATCTATGACAAACCCACAGCCAATATCATACTGAATGGGCAAAAACTGGAAGCATTCCCTTTGAAAACTGGCACAAGACAGGGATGTCCTCTCTCACCACTCCTATTCAACATAGTGTTGGAAGTTCTGGCCAGGGCAATTAGGCAGGAGAAGGAAATAAAGGGTATTCAATTAGGAAAAGAGGCAGTCAAATTGTCCCTGTTTGCAGATGACATGATTGTATATCTAGAAAACCCCATCGTCTCAGCCCAAAATCTCCTTAAGCTGATAAGCAACTCAGCAAAGTCTCAGGATACAAAATCAATATACAAAAATCACAAGTATTCTTATACACCAATAACAGACAAACAGAGAGCCAAATCATGAGTGAACTCCCATTCACAATTGCTTCAAAGAGAATAAAATACCTAGGAATCCAACTTACAAGGGACGGGAAGGACCTCTTCAAGGAGAACTACAAACCACTGCTCAATGAAATAAAAGAGGATACAAACAAATGGAAGAACATTCCATGCTCATGGGCAGGAAGAATCAATATTGTGAAAATGGCCAAACTGCCCAAGGTAATTTATAGATTGAATGCCATCCCCATCAAGCTACCAATGACTTTCTTCACAGAACTGGAAAAAACTACTTGAAATTTCATATGGAACCAAAAAAGAGCCCGCATCGCCAAGTCAATCCTAAGCCAAAAGAACAAAGCTGGAGGCATCACGCTACCTGACTTCAAACTATACTGCAAGGCTACAGTAACCAAAACAGCATGGTACTGGTACCAAAACAGAGATATAGATCAATGGAACAGAACAGAGCCCTCAGAAATAACACCGCATATCTACAACTATCTGATCTTTGACAAACCTGAGAAAAACAAGCAATGGGGAAAGGATTCCCTATTTAATAAATGGTGCTGGGAAAACTGGCTAGCCGTATGTAGAAAGCTGAAACTGGATCCCTTCCTTACACCTTATACAAAAATTAACTCAAGATGGATTAAAGACTTAAATGTGAGACCTAAAACCATAAAAACCCTAGAAGAAAACCTATGCATTACCATTCAAGACATAGGTATGGGCAAGGACTTCATGTCTAAAACACCAAAAGCAATGGCAACAAAAGCCAAAATTGACAAATGGCATCTAATTAAACTAAAGAGCTTCTGCACAGCAAAAGAAACTACCATCAGAGTGAACAGGCAACCTACAAAAAGGGAGAAAATTGTTGCAACCTACTCATCTGACAAAAGGCTAATATCCAGAATCTACAATGAACTCCAACAAATTTACAACAAAAAAAAAACCATCCCATCAAAAAGTGGGCAAAGGACATGAACAGACATTTCTCAAAAGAAGACATTTATGCAGCCAAAAAGCATGTGAAAAAACGCTCACCATCACTGGCAATCAGAGAAATGCAAATCAAAACCACAGTGAGATACCATCTCACACCAGTTAGAATGGCAATCATTAAAAAGTCAGGAAACAACAGGTGCTGGAGAGGATGCGGAGAAATAGGAACACTTTTACACTGTTGGTGGGACTGTAAAGTAGTTCAACCCTTGTGGAAGTAAGTGTGGCAATTCCTCAGGGATCTAGAACTAGAAATACCATTTGACCCAGCCATTCCATTACTGGGTACATACCCAGAGGATTATAAATCATGCTGGTATAAAGACACACGCACATGTATGTTTATTGCGGCACTATTCACAATAGCAAAGACTTGGAACCAACCCAAATGTCCAACAATGATAGACTGGATTAAGAAAATGTGGCACATATACACCATGGAATACTATGCAGCCATAAAAAATGATGAGTTCATGTCCTTTGTAGAGACATGGATGAAGCTGGAAACCATCATTCTCAGCAAACTGTCTCAAGGACAAAAAACCAAACACCGCATGTTCTCACTCATAGGTGGGAATTGAACAATGAGAACACATGGACACAGGAAGGGGACCATCACACACCAGGGCCTGTTGTGGGGTGGAGGGAGGGGGGAGGGATAGCATTAGGAGATATACCTAATGCTAAATGACGAGTTAATGGGTGCAGCACACCAGCATGGCACATGTATACATACGTAACCAATCTGCACATTGTGCACATGTACCCTAAAACTTAAAAGTATAATAATAATAAACAAACAAAAAAAACCCCAAAAAGACAAAGAAGGGCATTACATAATGGTAAATGGATCAATGCAACAGGAAGAGCTAACTACCCTAAATATATGTGTACCAAATACATGAGCAACCAGATTCATAAAACAAGTTCTTACAGACCTACAAAGAGACTTAGGCTCCCATACAATACTAGTGGGAGACTTTAACATCCCACTGTCAATATTAGATCAATAAAACAGAAAATTAACAAGGATATTCAAGACTTGAACTCAGCTCTGGACCAAGCGGACCTAATAGACATCTACAGAACTCTACACCCCACATCAACAGAATATACATTATTCTCAGCACCACATACCATGTATTCTAAAATAGGCTACATAATTGGAAGTAGAAAACTCTTCCACAAATGAAAAAGAATGGAGTTCATAACAAACAGTCTCTCAGATCACAGTGCAATCAAATTAGAACTCGGGATTAAGAAACTCACTCAAAACTGCACAACTACATGGAAATTAAACAACCTGTTCCTGAATGACTACTGCGTAAATAACAAAACTGAGACAGAAATCAAGAAGTTCTTTGAAACCAATGAGAACAAAGACACAATGTACCATAATCTCTGGGACACAGCTAAAGCAGTGTTAAGAGGGAAATTTATAGCACTAAATGCCCACATCAGAAAGTGGGAAAGATCTAAAATCAACACCCTAACATTACAATTAAAATAACTAGAGAAGCAAGAGCAAACAAATGGAAAAGCTAGCAGAAGACAATGAATAACTAAGATCAGAGCAGAACTGAAGGAGACAGAGACATGAAAAACTGCTCAAAAAATGAATGAATCCAGGAGCTGGTTTTTTCAAAATATTAACAATATAGACGGACCTCTAGCTCAACTAATAAAGAAGAAAAGAGAGAAGAATCAAATAGACACAATAAAAAATGATAATGGGGATATCACCACTGATCCCACAGAAATAAAAACTACCATTAGAAAATACTCTAAATATCTCTATGCAAATAAAATAGAAAATCTAGAAGTGGATACATTCCTGAACACATACACCCTCCCAAGACTAAACCAGGAAGAAGTCGAATCCTTGAATAGACCAAAAACAAGTTCTAAAATTGAGGCAGTACTTAATAGCCTACCAACTCAAACAAGCCCAGGACCAGACAGATTCACAGCCGAATTCTACATCAATATTCTGTTGATGTGGGGTGTAGAGGAGCTGGTAGCATTCCTTCTGAAACTATTCCAAACAATAGAGAAAGAGGGACTCCTCCCTAACTCATTTTATGAGGCCAGCATCGTCCTGATACCAAAACCAGACAGAAAACAAAATTTCAGGCCAATATCCCTGATGAACATCGATGCAAAAATCCTCAATAAAATACTAGCAAACCGAATCCAGCAGCACATCAAAAAGCTTATCCACCAAGATCAAGTCGCTTTCATCCCTAGGATACAAGGCTGGTTCAACGTATGCAAATCAATAAATGAAATTCATCACATAAACAGAACCAATGACAAAAACCACATGATTATCTCAATAGATGCAGAAAAGGCCTTTGATAAAATTCAACATCCTTCATGCTAAAAACTCTCAATAAACTAGGTATTAATGGAGCATTTCTCAAATTAGTAAGAGGTATTTATGACAAACCCATAGCCAGTATGATACTGAATGGGCAAAAGCTGAAAGCGTTCCCTTAGAAAACTGGCACATTACAAGGATGCCCTCTCTCACCACTCCTATTAAACATAGTATTGGAAGCTCTGGCCAGGGCAATCAGGCAACAGAAAGAAAGAAAGGATATTCAAATAGGAAGAGAGGAAGTCAAATTGTGTCTGTTTGACTGCAACATGATTGTATATTTAGAAAACCCCATCGTATCAGCCCAGAAACTCCTTAAGCTGATAAGCAACTTCAGCAAAGTCTCAGGATACCAAATTAATGTGCAAAATCAAAGGATTCCTATACAACAACAATAGACAAGCAGAGAGCCAAATCATGAGTGAACTCCCATTCACAATTGCTACAAAGAGAATAAAATACGTAGGAATCCAACTTACAAGGGATATGAAGGACCTCTTCAAGGAGAACTACAAACCACTGCTCAAGAGAGGACAGAAACAAATGGAAAAACATTCCATGCTCATGGATAGGAAGAATTAATATTGTGAAAATGGTCATATTGCCCAAAGTAATTTATAGATTCAATGTTATTCCCATCAAGCTACCATTGACTTTCTTCACAGAATTAGAAAAAACACTTTAAATTTCATATGGAATCAAAAAAGAGCCCATATAGCCAAGACAATCCTAAGCAAAAAGAACAAAGCTGGAGACAATCCTAAGCAAAAAGAACAAAGCTAATCAAAAAGATCATGCCACCTGACTTCAAACTATACTACAAGGCTACAGTAACCAAAACAGCATGTTACTGGTATCAAATCAGATATATATAGACCAATGGAACAGAACAGAAAACTCAGAAATAACACCACACATCTACAACCATCTGATCTTCAATAAACCTGGGAAAAACAAGCAATGGGGAAAGGATTCCCTATTTAATTAATGGTGCCAGGAAAACTGGCTAGCCCTATGCAGTAAACTGAAACTGGACCCCTTCCTTACACCTTATACAAAAATTAACTCAAAATAAATTAAAGACTTAAATGTAAAACCCAAAACCATAAAAACCCTAGAAGAAAACCCAGGCAATACCATTCAGGACAAAGGCATGGGCAAAGACTTCATGACCAAAACACCAAAAGCAATTGCAACAAAAGCCAAAATTGACAAATGGGATCGAATTAAATGAAAGAGCTTCTGCACAGCAAAATAAACTATCATCAGAGTGAACAGGCAACCTACAGAATGGGAGAAAATTTTTTCAAGCTATCCATCTGACAAAGGTCTAATATCCACAATCTGCAAGGAACTTAAACAAATTTACAAGAAAAAAAAACCCCATCAAAAAGTGGGTGAAGGATATGAACAGACACTTCTCAAAAGAAGATATTTATACAGCCAACAAACATGAAAAAAAGCTCATGATCACTGGTCATTAGAGAAATGCGAATCAGAACTACAATGAGATACCACCTCACACCAGTTAGAATGGCAATCATTAAAAAGCCAGGAAACAACAGATGCTGGTGAGGCTGTGGAGAAATAGGAATGCTTTTACACTGTTGGTGGGAGTGTAAATTAGTTCAACCATTGTGGAAGACAGTGTGGCAATTCCTCAAGGATCTAGAACCAGAAATTCCATTTGATCCAGCAATCCCATTACTGTGTATATACCCAAAAAATTGTAAATTATTCTACCATCAAGACACATGTACACATATGTTTACTGAAGCACTATTTACAATAGCAAAGACTTGGAACCAACCCAAATGCCCATCAATGAGAGACTGGATAAAGAAAATGTGGCACATATACACATATATACCACAGAATACTATGCAGCCATAAAAAAGAATGAGTTCATGTCCTTTGCAGGGACATGGATGAAGCTGGAAGCCACCATTCTTAACAAACTAACACAGGAACAGAAAACCAAACACTGCATGTTCTCACTCATAGGTGGGAGTTGAACAATGAGAACACATGGACACAGGGAGGGGAACATCACACATTGGGGCCTATTCGGGGGTGGGGGGCAAGGGAAGGGAGAGCATTAGACAAATACCTAATGCATGCGGGGCTTAAAACCTGGATGACGGGTTGATAGGTGCAGCAAACCACCATGGCACATGTATACCTATGTAACAAACCTGCATGTTCTGCCCATGTATCCCAGAACTTAAAGTAAAAAAAAAAAAAAAAAAAAAAAAAAAATTCAAATAGTAATAAGGTACTATGAATAAAATAAAATTGGATAATATAAAAATGAAAGAGGGGAGGGGTTGGAAAGAGCAGGGCTAGATAATGCGCTCAGGAATGCCTCCTTGATAAGAGACTGGATGAAGGGAAAAGTCCAGTCCTGTGCAGCTCTGGAGAAACACATTCAAGGCAGAAGAAACAAGTAAAAGGTCCTCAGGTTGAAACTAGTTTACCATGTTTAAGGAAGCCAATGTAAGGTCAGAGTGACTTAAGACTAGTAACAAAATGAAGTTTGATGAGAGGTCTATACATACATAAATACCAAAACATAAACTCAATTATAAACCAAGATACATATAGAAACCAGGTTAGTTCTGGCTTTTCACGAGATTATTAAAAATAGATATTTAAAACTTCATAGTTAAAGCTTAGGCAGATAGGATTCTGGCGGGCTTTGGGGAATGCTTTTCTTCACAGTATAATGACCTCAAGTAGCACCAGCAGAGTGGTGTTGACCATGTAATCCCAGAAATTTCTTTTCTCTTTTTCACTCAAGAATAGATAGAACATTTACATCACATCTTCTGAAATTACATAAACACATCAATTTGAAGGGAGGAGAATAACATTTTCTGGGCTAGCACTGAAAAATAATGGCTTTATTATTGTTTTTGTAAATATATACATGAACTCCTTCCCAAATTTCAAATAGATAATAAACATTTACTATACTGTATTCATAGGATATTGTCAGCACAAATGAATGGCATAATTAGGGGAAGTAAGATCAAATATCATACCATTGATTATCATTAGTCAAATTATGAAAGCACATCAATAAAAATAAGTGTTTAAAATAATTCCATTGTATAATGTTATTTAAATCTGTAACATATTTAGTTGTAATCTAAAAAAATAAATATCAGGCTATCAGAAAATAAAAAATAACAAGATGCCAAATATCACTACATACTAGATTCATATACTAACTACTTTATATGCTAAATACTAACTTTATAATCTTGTTGAAGTTTTATGTTTCTGTGTTCTAAAGCTATATATATATATATATATATGCCTAAATAAATATCTTAAGATAGTTTTAAATTTCAAAAAAACTTTTTAGTGACTGTTAAAGACCAGTTTAAGAGATTCTGCAGTGAAAGAACATTCCATGTATTAGGGATTAGTAAACTTTTTATGTAAAAGGCCAGAGAGTACATAAATATTTTAGGTTTTGTGAGCCATTCAATCTCTGTCACGACTATTCAACTTCATAGTCACATAAAACAAAGCCATCAACAAGATTTAAATGACTAAGCATGGCTGTGATCCAATAAATTTTATTTATAAAAAGATGTGGCAGGCCAGATTTGACCCACAAGCTACAGTTTGTGAACCCCTGACAGATGTAATTAAATCTCTTTATCAGTACACTTAGGCTACAAGTAATAAAACACCCAACAAATAAGTGAGAATAGTCATTTCTGTCTATTTTATTCACTAATGTATCTCAAAGCCTTAAATGGTGCCTGACATTTAGTAATCACTCAACGGTTGTGAATGACTATTTTCTTACTTCACCTAATATTAAGTTGGAAGGTATATAGTTCCAGATTTGCTTCAGTAGCTCAATAATATCACTTAAGGACTTTGCAAAGGTTTCCTCATGTTTCTCTTCTTCTAATCTTCTCATGTGCTGATATCTACAATCATAGTTTAAAAATGGCTATAGCAGCTTCACACATCACTTTCTAAAATGACAAGGAGCAGGAAAAGGGGAAGGCTTTCTTTTTGCCCTCTCTCCTCTTATCAGAGAGAAAAACTTTTTCAGAAGCTCCACAAGGGACTTTCATCTCACTGGCTAAAACTAGGTCACATGTCCACTTCCAAACCAATTCCTGGCAAAAAGACATAAAAACTGGTTTAGGTCAATGACTTATTACCTCAGGTTATGGAATAAGCTCATCTTCCCTGAGCACATTGCCACTGGAACAAAATTAGGGTTATGTGACTATGTATGAAGGAAAAAAAAACAGCTCTTGTACTGGCAACAGATGATGTCTTCCATACCCTCAACAGTAAAATAAAAAATGACAACAATAAAATTTACTTTGTATTTACTTAGTATCAGAAAATGCTGTACATGTATTCATTCATTTATTCAATTATCTTACTCAATTTCCTTCCTCTGGAAAGCTATGAGAGGAGGAAAAAATAGTATTGAGAAAGAAACAAGACAAAACAAAACAAAAACCTCTATAATCTCAACATGAAATACATTTCAAGGATTTAAAAATGGAAGGGAGCATGATAATAATAATAATATGTATTTTTTTTTTACATTTTCCTCAGTCTGAGTTTTATAAAATGACTTCATTATTTCCTATTGTAGTAAATTCTCAGATAGTATACTCTGATATGTAAATGTAAGTATTAAAATTTTTCCAAAATTCAGTAATCTGAAATTGTATACTTTTACATAATCCACACCATTGCTACCTTCCATTATTTAAACCTGTCCATGTATATATAAGGTATTTTCTTTAAAAATAATACATTCTTTTGATTTTGTAGTCCTTAGCCACAATATATAATTAAAAGTAGGATGTTTCTTAATGACATAATTAGTAGAGTTCACTTTAAAACCTGATTAACACTTTCAAGTTACCAAAAGTGTCTTTAATAAACTTAGAATCCATTTTTTTACACTTTCCTATTGTACTAGGAATAAACATACTCATGAGACATGACTGAATTACCGTTAAATAGGTGAAGGCAGATTTTAAAGACTGGCTTCAAAAGACCTGCATATGAAAGGAATAATATAAAGTCCAATATAGGAAACAATTAAATGATTATCTCAACCATAAAATACCTTGTCTATTCTCAGCACATTAAAATACAAGCTTTATCTAAGTATATTGGTGATTCAGAAATATTTATAATATTCTTTACTAGGAAGAGTACATCCCTGCTTAATAAGTATTTTGGAAAAGAATAGTAAATCATAAAATACTAAGATTAAAAAAAATTTCCCATGGGAAAAAAACAAAAATAAATGAGAAAAACTAAAAGCCCAATTAAAAGATGTACTTTATTTTGCACTTCAGTAAACACTGACAGCTTAAATATATGAAGTTTTTGGAAATTAGAAGGAAAGAAAACTAATGGAAAATACAAGGAAGAGAGAAAATCATGAAATAGCCAAAGGCAAGACAATTCCGTGGGTGTGCTATGTAATTTTAAGGAACAGCATGTATTAATTTAAATATAGCTACACTAAAATAAAAATAAATATAATCAAAATAAAATAAAATTACTACATAACATAGAAAAATACAAATAAAAGAATGTCAAACTTTAAAAGAGCCCATGTTTTGAATAAATTTAGAACTCAAAAAATTTTGGATTTTTAGTCTAGTTAAAAGTCAACAAAAAATGATGTATCAGATTTCAGTCCAGTTATATGAATTTTATGGGTTAAAGTTAAGAAACTTGGTATGGAAAAGCTTTAAACATTTTTTAGTAGCAAATATAAGAGAAGATCTCTATGACATTAGGCTGAGAAAGGACTTCTTACAGGAGATACAAAGAACAATAACCACAGGAGAAGAGTGAGAGATTTACTTTAAGTTAAAAAAAAAAAAGAAAAAAAAATTCTGTTCATCAAACACACCACAGTCTGGGAATATACATTTGAAACACCTATTATCTAATGTGTTGTATGAACCACTGGCACTCATTATTTATTTCTGTTCCCTTCCACATTCTGGCCTCTGTCCCAGGGGCGGAAAGTCCAAAACTACATTGCCCAGATGTCTTGCAGCTGAAGTTGTGGATAAGATTAAAATTTTACCAGTGAGAGGCATTTAAGGGAGATATAAAAGGTAGAAGTGAGCTGAGACCATTTTTTCTGTTGATATGGTGGCTGGTAAGTAAAACTGGATAGACAAAAATGTCTCTTGTAGTCAATATCCTATGACCCTTTTTCCAATATCAAGTCTCCAGTTTTATGGAAATAATGCTGCCATGGTAGTAATAGGGATGGTGGTAGCACCAGGGATGGTGGTAGCACCATAAATTCCTAACCCCAGGATTATAGTCTCTGAGGTGTAACTGTAAAACTAATGATTTAGTAGCACTTAAATGTAAGTGAATTAAATCCTTTCTTGTTTCAAATTTCTAGAATGGTTATTGTTTACTGTGTTGAGACTGACCAGCACATCAACAAATTTTCAGAATACAGATCACATATGCACTTTGGCAATTTAATAAGAACAAGATAAGTAGAAATGGGGAAAATATATGAACAAGCATTTTATGAGAAAAGAAAACCACATAGGTAAATAAACATATAAAAATGGTCAACAATGGGAGGCTGAGGCGGGCAGATCATGAGGTCAAGAAATCGAGACCATCCTGGCTAATATGGTGAAACCCCGTCTCTACTGAAAATACAAAAAAAATTAGATGGGCGTGGTGACGGGCACCTGTAGTCCCAGCTACTGGGGAGGCTGAGGCAGGAGAATGGCACGAATCCGGGAGGCGGAGCTTGCAGTGAGCCGAGATCGCACCACTGCACTCCAGCCTGGGAGACAGAGCAAGACTCTGTCTCAAAAAAAAAAGTCAACAATATTAGTATTCAGGAAAATGCAAATTAAAACAACAATAAAAAAGTATTTAACAGTCAAAATGATGAAAATTAAGCTTAACAAGAGCTACAGGTATTAAAAGATATAGATCAATATAAACTCATAAATATCACTGGTAAGAATGTAAATTGGTACACCTATTTTGGAAATTAAGTTGATATTATATTGCAAAATTGATATTCATATAACCTATAATCCAGCAACTTCCTTCCTTGAAACTCTTGCACTTGTGTATGTTATTGAATAAAAAAGTAAGTCCTAGAACACTAGATGATACCGTTTTTATACAGTCTTTAAAAATGTAAAACTAAAAAGTATATCGCTTGGAGATACACATACCTATAAAAAAACTGTAAAAGCAAGGGAATGATAAACACAAAATTCAAGATAGTGTTTATCTCTGGCAGAGAGAAAGAGAAGGATGGGAAATGGAAGAAAAACATGGATAGATGCACCAGCACTGGCAACATTTTAACATTCAAGCTGAGTGGTAGGCTGAAAAGTTTTCATTTTATCAATATGTTTTCTAACATACATATATATTATATACTACATTATTGATTGCTAATATTGGTAAGGTGATTATTTTGTATGCTACTCCAAGTACTTACTTTATCCCTTACAGTCAGCCCTATGAAATAGGTTCTATTATTATCTCTGATTTATAGAAGAGGACACTAAAGCAGAAAGGGAAGTAACCTGTCCAGGGTCACACAGCTAACAAGTAATCGAGCCAGGAGTCAAATAGAAAATCAGCCCCGGGGTCCACATTCTTAACTATTAATACTATAGCTATCAAATATCAAATAACAAAAATAAAAGTTACCTAAGACAATAATAAAAGATAAAACCAATAGTTAATTGATTTACCTTTCATTTTCCTTGATGACATTTTCAAGTTGTAATTTCATCTCACCCACCTGTTTCTGAAAGAATAAAATATGGTGTGGCAATACATTTTGCAGACAATCAGATCTCCATTAAGTAGACCACTCACGTAAGCAATCAGATTCTGACACTAGTTTACAGATAAGAAAGACTTATTCTTTATTTATAACAAAGGGATAATTAATATGGATAATTTACTAATAAACAGAACACAATAAAACATTCATTTTAAGTAGAATATAAATAAAATAGAAATATTTTATGTAACATGGTGAGAAATGTTTATAAATGTAATTCCTATGACTTGTAGTTGTGAAAAACAGATGAAAGATATTCTGGAGTATGTCACTATAACAAATACCAGATGGTTCCTGTATCTTGAATGTATATCTTAGTTAATTCACCTCAGTTTAGGTGAAGCCCATATAAGTATGTATATTTTTCTAGTATTTCAAAAGGTAAAATGCTAACAGTAAAGAAGAAAATGGAGGTCTTTTTTAGCAGTCATTCATTCAGTTTCTGATTCACCACCTTCATTAACTATCTAAACTCTCCGTACCATACAAGGCGCTAAGGTAAACAGACATGCTCATTGAAAAATAGTAGGAAAGATGGTTAAAAAAAATCCTAACTAAAATACAAGGCAGAATAAAATGCACACCAGAAAGGGAATTAAATGAAGGTCTGATTAACGTTCTCTGAAGGAGTAAAAAGATGTTAGGATTTCAAAAGAAAAGAAAGCATTTAAAGTTGGCGAAAATATGAGTAAAAGCAAAATAGCAAAAAATAAGTAGTCAACTCTCAGTAAGTGTGAATGAGCAAATGGAGAGTGTGCGCGCGCGCACACACACACACACACACACACACACACACAAAACCCTGAATTTACATGTAAAAGCATGCAAAATCTCACTTAAAACGGTAACTAATTCATGATTGTGTATTAGTCTTGATTGTGCTTCCTAAGCTAAAGGAGAGAAGCTTATCCTGGAGTACACTTTCGCAAGGGCCAGGTGGAACAGGCAGTTCTGCCAGCCTTTTTCTCTCTCTTTCAACCGAGAAGATCAAGGAAGCTTGGTCTAGGAGATCAGAATAGCAAATTCTAACTATAAATTTGGTTTGAAAGGTGAACTTTTCCAAGGTCCTCGTTATGCCTGAAACACAATTAAACCAACATGGATTAATTCACTACCAGATAATTGAGCACTGACCATATATGGACTGATACAGTGAGAGATAAAATTGGAAAGACAGGTACAGGGTTTTAAGAATGCCATGGCAAGAGGTTTGGATTTATTGTAGCCATTATCTTAATTTTATAGTTTTTAAATAATTTTTTCCCCTAAGATGGGGTCTCACTCTGTCTCCTAAGGTGGAGTGTGAGAGCACGATCACAGCCCACTGCAGCCAATAAACTGATCTTTAAAAGTTGCAAAACTATCAGTGCATCTTAAAGAATATTTATTACTCTTAAATAATTATGTAAGATATATTCACTAGCTAAGACTAAAGATGGATTGTAACGCTCTCACTATAAATTCCTTACTGTAAAATATTTCAAAATATTTACATTTGGAAGGAAGTGAAATCCATACAGTATTTCTCACATCATCAAATTCTTCCCTACTATTTATATTTTCTGGCAGAAAATCGTCCATATAGAGAATTGCAGTGCTACTTTTCCTGCTTTGGAGATATAGTATTTTTTGACTAGGTCAATAAGTCATAAGAACTAATCCTTCTAATCAATCACATCTATCTGAGCAACCATTCTTAGCTGTCAACATTTTTTTTTCTCTAAAAGAAGGAGCAATTATTTTTATCATCAAAGACTCAGGCTTTCTAGCATAGTTTATTTTTCTCTTGTAATTAATTAAGTGATCAACCTTTGGCGGTAAAGAATGCAAAATAGAAAAACAAAGTTAAACATCTTAGTAAAATGGCTGATTAAAGAAATAAATGAATCAGATTGTAAAAAATTTAAATGAATTTAATTTCAAGATAATTAGCTATCCTATAACAACCAAAGTACATAATATGTTATTACAGGAATTTAGAGAGAGTAAATTCAGCAGCAACTTTAAATTCACTAGTCCTGAAAACAAAAGCAAAATATCATTTGTGCAAAAGAGAGCTTTCTGTTGCTCTTTAATTGTCAGCTAGGAAGATTAAAAGACATTACTGTGCTTGTCCTAAATTTAAATAACTACAGGCTAAAAAATACACAATAAAGACCAGGAAGACCTTATGATAAAACAGACACTATAATTTTAATGAAATGCTTTTATTTGACATTTGGGTCTAAAGGACAACTTTGTTTATGTATTTGAGAAATAACCTTGGAAATGAAAGCCTACATAATTTCAAATGCAGTGAAAGAACCTAATTTTATTTTTAGAAATTGGAAGCATTATGTGTTCTTTTAGTAAAGCTACATATCAATGCATTAATTGATAAATAAGGGCTTGTTAAGCTAGCTCTAATCATCTTATTCCCATAAGCCCTGGCATTTAATCATTCATTAAATATTTAAGGGCCTACTATGTGCTACACTTGAAAGTACACAGTAGGATCCCTTCATGTCCGTGCATAAAAAGAAAAGGAAGTAAGGGAGAAAGTGCTTAGTGTCTGCCACACACACAGGCTGATTCTGAGGAAATCGGTCTCAGGGGTTGCTTTAATATATTTTATTTATTTATTTTTCTGAGACAGAGTCTCACTCTGTTGCCCAGGCTGGAGTGCAGTGGCACGATCTCGGCTCACTGCAGCCTCTGCCTCCCAAGTTCAAGTGATTTTTCCTGCCTCAGCCTCCCAAGTAGCTGGGATTACTGGTGTGTGCCACCACACCTGGCTAATTTTTGTATTTTTAGTAGAGATGGGATTTCATTATGTTGGCCAGGCTGGTCTTGAACTCCTGACCGCAAGTGATCTGCACGCCTTGTCCTCCCAAAGTGCTGGGATTACAGACGTGAGCTACCACACCTGGCCAGGCTGCTTTAATAAAAAGTCATTATACTCTGTTCCATTTGCATTAATGAAAGCCAACCCTGCCACCCTTGCTACAACTGCATTTATCCAGGAATTGGTATCTAAACCAAATCCAATCATGAGTATATTCAAGCTCTAATAGAGAGAGGTCATTGCCTCCTGATAGGTTTAGCTTGAGTCATATAAGTTCTATTTAAGAAATACTTCTATTATATGGTTATCCCAGTATTAGGTCAAAATTCTAGGGGAAAATGTTAAAAGACATTTTCAGATCAAAGAAACACATTATAAATATTAGGCATACTCTAAACACGTAGCTCACTGAAACTCAAATTGTACCCTAAACAATTTTGTGCTATTATTCTAGTTCTCCATAAGCCCTGGGACCCAAAATGATAATCCATTCTGCAAGTAATGGGAGATGCAGATAGAATGAGGTAAGGAGGAAGGTCTGAAAGGATGCGAGACAGTTTTAGGTTAAAAAAAGAGAGATGTAAGCAAACAATAATGAGATTAAGAGATTCTTCTAAGCACCTAAGCAATATCTCATGCAAGATAGCAAGAGCAAGGAAACACTGAATTAAAAGACAAAACTGAAGAGAATATTTTTTTTCTTCGAGACAAGGTCCAGTTCTGTTGCCTAGGCTGGAGTGCAGTGGCTTGACCACAGCTCACTAAAGCCTCGACCTCCCAGGCTGCTCAAGCAATTCTCTCACTTCAGCCTTCTGAGTAGCTAGGACCACAGGTGCACACCACCACACCCAGCTAACTTCATTCCAGCACTTTGGGAGGCCGAGGCAGGCGGATCACGAGGTCAGGAGATCGAGACCATCCTGGCCAACATGGTGAAACTCCATCTCTACTAAAAACACAAAAATCAGCTGGGCATGGTGGCACATGCCTGTAATCCCAGCTACTCGGGAGGCTGAGGCAGGAGAATCACTTGAACCAGGGAGTCAGAGGTTGCAGAGAGCCGAGATCGCGCCACTGCATTCCAGCCTGGCGACAGAGTGAGATTCCATCTCAAAAAAAAGAAAAGAAAAAAAAAAGAGATGGGGTCTCACTACGTTACCCAGGCTGGTCTCAAGCTTCTAGGCACAAATGATCTTCCTGTCTCAGCCTCCCAAAGTGCTGGGATTATAGGCATAAGCCACCGCACCCAGCTAGAAGAGAATCTTTAAACATATGCACATATATACATTCACACACATTTACATAGGGCCACCAATTGGTTAGTTACAGCAAATATTCTCTTTCTCATCAATGTCTTTTTAAAAAGAGGGAGTCTATTTTACTTTTTATTTTCATAATAAAATATTACAAAAGCCTCATAACTATGATTTCATACCTGGTAATATTTCAGCTGCCCATTTAGTTCTCCTAGGTGTTTATCATACTCAGTAACAAGAGGAGCTAAAAAGCTAAAAAAAGACAATAAAAATATAGCATATTCTGTTCCATCTAGTTTAATAAATATATAACAAGTGAAATAAATTACACATAAAAATTTTATGTTTAGTTTACTCATGCAATAAAAACTTTTCCCTTTTTTCCAAAACCAGGAATTTTAAATATTTGCACAATTAATATTTTGGACTGAAAAATTCTTTGTTGTGGGATGGCTAGACTGTGCAATGAAGGATGTTTAACAGCATACTTGGCCTCTACCCATTAGATGGCAGCAGCAGCCTCACTTTCCATAGTAGTGACAAACAAAAATGTTTCTAGACATTGCCAAATATCTCCTGGGGAAACAGGGGTAAAGTTGCTCCTGTCTGAGAACTAATTTTGTAGACTCTGTAATACTTGCTTTTTCTTGTCAATTCAAGAACAAAGCATTTAAGTTTAATAACAGCAGACCATAAAACAAACATTCCTGATACTGAATTATGCTAATAATAATTAAATATAACGAAGAAAATGATATTATTCTGGTAATACTTTACCTTTGGTCAAATACTAGGTTTTCAAATGTGTCGTCTCCTTCTCCTTGGCAGACAGCTTTCTATAAAAGAATGTACATCTTAAAATGTGTTCTCACATCATTCTAGCCAAAATTGATAGTGATATAATATTAAATGCAATTAAATTTTCATAATCTTAGAAACTCTATTTATGTAATTCAAAATGAGAGAAAAAAATAATAATCTCAATTTATACTGAAATGCATTTGGTAAATTTAATACCCATGCACAATAAAAACCACTGGCAAATTAGAAATTTGAGGATTTTTTCTTAATTTGATAAAAATATCTGCCAGAAATCTACATCAATTATAATTTAAAGGTTGAAAAGCAAGATGGAAGGCTATTATTATTTACAATTTGGCCATTTACCTAAAAACTCAGTATAATCTACCAATTATTAGAACTAGTAAGATAATACACGAAAAGTCACCAGACAGAAGATGAACACTTAAAAAAAAAATCAGTAGCTTTTTCAAATACCAGCAATAATTAGAAAATGTAATCAAAAAAAATCCTATTCACTACTATGATAAACAATATCTGGGAATAAAGCAAACAAAAAATGGTACAGGAGCTTATTGAGAAAATTAGCTTTACTAAAGGATATAAAAGGAAATCTAAACAAACATGGTACTATAACATTAATGTATGTGTGGAATGGTCAATATTTTGAGAATGTCAGCTCTCTAAAATTCACTACAACTTCATTGCACTCAAAAATGAAGTTCCAATAGAATTATTTATAAAACTTGATCTTAAATAAATCCTAAAGTTCCATGAATAAGTATGAAAAATTAGCCAAGATAATCTCACCAAAAAAAAAAAAAAAAGGAAAAGAAAAAAGAAAGAGGGAAGAACTTGGTTACTACATAGCAAAACACCACAATGCTATAGCAATTTAAACAGTATGCTATAGGTACAGTAACAAACACAACAGTATAACAAACCCAGAAATAGATTCAAGCATTTATAGGTATGTGGTATATAAAAGAAGAAGAATTATAATTGAATGGACACAATACTGCTATCCAACAAATAGTACTGGATAGCAAAACAAAATTAGCTGCTAGCACATACTAAATGGAAAAATACAGATAAAAATCCAAATGTTGTTAAAATTTTAACAATTATTGCAAGAAAATGCATTATTGACCTTGAGTTAGACAATGCTTTCTTAACGTCACAAATGCAGAAATTTTTGTCTGTTTTGTTTGCAAATATCCCAAGCAGCGCCTGCCATACTTTTTTGCTCAAATTACATTTGTTAACTGGAAGACACCAGGAGCAAAACCTATAAATGGAAAGACTGACACATTTTACAACATCCAAATTTAAAACTTCTATACAGCTAAAGACACCAAAAGCAAAGTTAAAAGACCTACAGCATTCGTAACATGACCAGAAATTTTGTATCTATGGCATATGGAGAAACATTTAAACACAAGATGTAAGAGGTTTTTCAGTGGTGCCTTTACTATAAAACATAGCTAACAAAATGTCTTTTAACAGAATAAATAAAAAATGATACAATAGAATCCCATAAGTAGTTCAAGAAATTAATTAAATTCACATGTATCAAAATATATATATCATAAAAAACAAAGAAGTTATTTCTAGGGGTGGAAAGAAGAAAATAGGACAGAGAAGAAAGGTGCTCAAAGGGATCACTAAAAGCATCTGTAATGTTCTGGCTTTTTGAAGGGAGAAAGTATTTATGATCACATACATATTAAAGAGTAATTTAAAAATATAACTCAAAGAAGCCTCTGAATTCTAAACTTTCACTTAATTAATTTTTAACATCTTACTCTGTAAATACTTATTTACCTACTATGTGTAAGGGCCCATGGGAGGTACAGTAAATAATACAAAGATGAACAAACAATTTATAGTCCTTATCCATTGGATGGATTGTAGAGTTATAGGAAGAGAGAGGCAAATAAGCAAGGAACAATAATAATAATAAAGACATACCATGAAAGAGGCATAGAATGGTAAGAATGAGTAGATGAAAGGAAGATAATCAATACTGTTTTTATTCAAGTACTACACACATACAGAAGACAGTACAAATTATAAGTATACAGCTAAATAATTCTCACAAGGTGAATATACTCATGTAACCAGAACTCAAATCAAGCAACAGAATACAAGTACTCTTCACTTTGCATATTGGTATACGTGTCTTCATTTTGCACAGTTCTGTGGAAACATCAAATCCAAGTAAGGACAGTTCTGATACACACAAGTTTCAGTTAACATGGTACTGCAAAAAGTGAGAACTATGTATATGACCAACAACCCCCAAACCCCTAAGTCACTACCCCCAGGCTCCATGTGGGACCCAAATCCTGACTTCTAACAGCAGGAAATCATTTTCCCTATTTTAAAAACATTATAAAAATATAACCACACAGTATATTTTCTGTTATGTCTGGCTTCTTTTGCTTATCACTGGGTTTGTGAGATTCATTCTTACTGCTGTGAGTAATTTTGGTTAGTTCATTCTTACTGACATATACTATTTCACTTTACAAGTATGCCACAATATATTTATGCTTTCTATTATTAAATGAAGTATTTGGGTTGTTCATTATTTGACTATTATAAACAGTGCTGCTACAAACATTCTTGAAAAAGTCTTATTGGTATAGGCATTTCTGATGGGTATACCTATAGGTAGAGTTGATGACTCATAAGGTCTGTATCAGTCAGATCTAGAAGAAAATGTCAAACAATTTTCTGAAGTAATCTTACCCATTTACTCTCCCACAGGCAGTATATGAGAGCTATTCCACATCTTTGTCAACACTTGGAACTATGCTTTTCACTCTAGCCAGTGGATATAGTAGTATTTCATTGTGGTTTGAATTTCCATTTACCTGATAAATAATGAAGTTGAACAGTCTTTTCTACAGTTACAAAGCATTTTAAATACCCTCTTTTGTGAAGTGACCTGTTTCTCTAATGGGTAATTGTTTTAGTTATTAATTTGAAGACATTCTTCATATATTCTAGATTTTTGCAAGATTACAAATATATTCTCCATTCCATAGCTTGTCTTTTTACTTTCTTAATGATGTCTTAAAAACATAAGTTCTTTCACTTTGAAGTAGCCCAGTTTATCAGTTATTTCGTTTATGATTAGTGCTTATGTGCTGTTTAAGCCATCCTGCCTATTATAAGCTCATAACTTCTTCCCTCAAGTTTTGTTCTAAAAGCTTTACCTTAACATTTAGATATGCAATCAATGCAGAAATTACATATGAGAGTAGTTTGGGTAGAGATCAAAATTTATTTTTCTTTATTCTATATGAAAGTCTGGTATGTGTAGAGCTATTTCCAAACTTTATTCTGTTTAACTGGCTTGCTTCCTTGGCCAATACCATACTAACCAAATTACTATAGCTTTACAGTAAATATTAAGACCTGGTAGTATCTGTTTCCAAGTGCAGTTGTTCTGCAAGATTGTCTTAGCTCTTCTTGTCCCTTTTCATATAAATTTTGAAAACAAAATAGTTCTAGTTTTAATTTTTTGAGGACTTCCATACTGCTCTCCACAGTGGCTAAACTAATGTACATTTCTACCAACAGTGTAGGAGGGTTCCCCTTTCTCCACATCCTCACCAGCATCCATTATTGCCTGTCTTTAGGATAAAAGTCATTAAAACAGGGGTGATATGGGATCTCACTATGGTTTTGATTTGCATTTCTCTAATGATTACTTATGTTTAGCATTTTTTCATATACTTCTTGGCCAGTTGTATGTCTTCTTTTAGAGATGTCTATTCAGCTCATTTGCTCCTTTTTTAATTAGATTCTTCTTTTAACTGTTGAATTGTTTGAGTTCCTTATATATTCTGGACATTCATCTCTTGTCAGATAAATAGTTTTCAAATACTCTCTCCCATTTTGCCAGATTCCTCTTCATTCTGTTGATTGTTTCCTGAACAATACAGAAGCTTTTAAGATTGATATAATCCCATTTGTCTATATTTGCCTTTCTTGCTTATGCCTTTGAGGTCTTCTCCATAAAACCTTTACCCAGAAAAATGTACTGAAACATTTATGTTTTTGTCCACCAGTTTCATAGTGTTGGGTGTTACATTTTTTAGTCCATTTTGTGTTGATTTTTGTAAAAGGGCCCGCATCACCAAGTCAATCCTAAGCCAAAAGAACAAAGCTGGAGGCATCACGCTACCTGACTTAAAACTATACTACAAGGCTACAGAAACCAAAACAGCATGGTACTGGTACCAAAACAGAGATATAGATCAATGGAACAGAACAGAGCCCTCAGAAATAACACCACATATCTACAACTATCTGATCTTTGACAAACCTGAGAAAAACAAGCAATGGGGAAAGGATTCCCTATTTAATAAATGGTGCTGGGAAAACTGGCTAGCCATATGTAGAAAGCTGAAACTGGATCCCTTCCTTACACCTTATACAAAAATTAACTCAAGATGGATTAAAGACTTAAATGTTAGACCTAAAACCATAAAAACCCTAGAAGAAAACCTAGGCATTACCATTCAGGACATAGGCATGGGCAAGGACTTCATGTCTAAAACACCAAAAGCAATGGCAACAAAAGACAAAATTGACAAATGGGATCTAATTAAACTAAAGAGCTTCTGCATAGCAAAAGAAACTACCCTCACAGTGAACAGGCAACCTACAAAATGGGAGAAAATTTTCGCAACCTACTCATCTGACAAAGGCCTAATATCCAGAATCTACAATGAACTCAAACAAATTTACAAGAAAAAAACAAATAACCCCATCAAAAAGTGGGCAAAGGATATGAACAGACACTTCTCAAAAGAAGACATTTATGCAGCCAAAAGACACATGAAAAAATGCTCATCATCACTGGCCATCAGAGAAATGCAAATCAAAACCACAATGAGATACCATCTCAAACCAGTTAGAATGGCAATCATTAAAAAGCCAGGAAACAACAGGTGCTGGAGAGGATGTGGAGAAATAGGAACACTTTGACACTGTTGGTGGGACTGTAAACTAGTTCAACCATTGTGGAAGTCAGTGTGGCGATTCCTCAGGGATCTAGAACTAGAAATACCATTTGACCCAGCCATCGCATTACTGGGTATATACCCAAAGGACTATAAATCATGCTGCTATAAAGACACATGCACACGTATGTTTACTGCGGCATTATTCACAATAGCAAAGACTTGGAACCAACCCAAATGTCCAACAATGATAGACTGGATTAAGAAAATGTGGCACATATACACCATGGAATACTATGCAGCCATAAAAAATGATGAGTTCACGTCCTTTGTAGGACATGGATGAAATTGGAAATCATCATTCTCAGCAAACTATCGCAAGGACAAAAAACCAAACACCGCATGTTCTCACTCATAGATGGGAATTGAACAATGAGAACACATGGACACAGGAAGGGGAACATCACACTCTGGGGACTGTTGTGGGGTGGGGGGAGGGGGGAGGGATAGCATTAGGAGATACACCTAACGCTAAATGACGAGTTAATGTGTGCAGCACACGAGCATGGCACATGTATACATACGTAACTAACCTGCACATTGTGCACATGTACCCTAAAACTTAAAGTATAAAAAAAAAAAAAAGAGACGGGGTGATTTATTTTTGGCATATGGATATACAGTTTTTCCAGCACTATTTCTTTTTTTTTTATTTGCAGTTGGCAGTTTTTTAATTTTTATTTTTATTTTAAGTTCTGGGATACATGTGCAGAACGTTCAGGTTTGTTACATAGGTATACATGTGCCATGGTGGTTTGCTGCACCTATCAACCCATCATCTAGGTTTTAACCCTGCATGCATTAGGTATTTGTCCTAATGCTCTCCTTCCCCTTACATGCCACCCACAGACAGGCCCTGGTGTGTGATGTTCCCCTCCTTGTGTCCCTGTGTTGTCATTGTTCAACTCCCACTTATGAGTGAAAACATGCAGTATTTGCTTTTCTGTTCCTGTGTTAGTTTGCTGAGGAGAATGCTTTCCAACTTCATCCATGTCCCTGCAAAGCACATGAACTCATTCTTTTTTATGGCTGCATAGTATTCCGTGGTGTATATGTGCCCCATTTTCTTTATCCAGTCTATCATTGATAGGCATTTGGGTTGGTTCCAAGTCTTTGCTATTGTAAATAGTGCTTCAATAAACATACGTGTGCATGTGTCTTTATAGAATAATTTATAATACTTTAGGTATATACACAGTAATTGGATTGCTGGGTCAAATGGAATTTCTGGTTCTAGATCCTTGAGGAATTGCCACACTGTCTTCCACAATGGTTGAACTAATTTACACTCCCACCAGCAGTGTAAAAGCATTCCTATTTATACACAAACTTGCCAGCATCTATTGTTTCTTGACTTTTTAATGATCGCCATTCTAACTGGTGTCACATGGTATCTCATTTGGTTCTGATTTGCATTTCTCTAATGACCAGTGACGAGGAGCTTTTTCTTCATGTTTGTTGGCAGCATAAATGTCTTTTTTGAGAAGTGTCTGTTGTTACCCTTCACCCATTTTTTGATGGGGTCATTTTTTTCTTGTAAATTTGTTTAAGTTCCTTGTAGACTGTGGATATTAGACCTCTGTCAGATGGGTAGCTTGCAAAAATATTCTCCCATTCTGTAGGTTGCCTGTTCACTCTGATGATAGTTGCTTTTGCTATGCAGAAGCTCTTTAGTTTAATTGGATCCCATTTGTCAATTTTGGCTTTTGTTGTAATTGCTTTTGGTGTTTTAGTCATGAAGTCTTTGCCCATGCCTATGTCCTGAATGGTGCTGTCTAGGTTTTCTACTGGGCTTTTTATGGTTTTGGCTTTTAAATCTTTAAACCATCATGAGATAATTTTTGTATAAGGTGTAGGGAGGGGGTCCAGTTTCTGTTTTCTGCTTGTGGCTAGCCAGTATTCCCAGCACCATTAATTAAATAGGGAATCTTTTCCCCATTACTTGTTTTTGTCAGGTTTATTGAAGATCAGATGGTTGTAGATGTGTGGTGTTATTTCTGAGGCCTCTGTTCTGTTCCATTGGTCTATACATCTGTTTTGGTACCAGTACCATCCTGTTTTGGTTAGTGTAGCAATGTAGTATAGTTTGAAGTCAGGTAGCATGATGCCTCCAACTTTGTTCTTTTTGCTTAGGATTGTCTTGGCTATACAGGCTCTTTTTTGGTTCCACATGAAATTTAAAGTAGTTTTTTTCTAGTTCTGTTTAGACAGTCAATGGTAGCTTGAGGGGAATAGCACTGAATCTATAAATTACTTTGCACAGCATGGCCATTTTCACAATATTGATTCTTCCTATCCATGAGCATGGAATGTTTTTCCATTGGTTTGTGTCCTCTCTTATTTCCTTGAGCAGTGGTTTGTAGTTCTCCTTGAAGAGGTTCTTTACATCCCTTGTAAGTTGTATTCCTAGGTATTTTATTCTCTTTATAACAATTGTGAATGGGAGTTCACTTATGATTTGGCTCTCTATTGGTCTGCTATTGGTGTAGAGGAATGCTTGGATTTTTGCACATTGATTTTGTATCCTGAGACTTTGCTGAAGTTGCTTATCAGCTTAAAGAGATTTTGGGCTGAGACGATGGGGTTTTCTAAATATATAATCATGTCATCTCCAAACAGAGACAATATGACTTCCTCTTTTCCTAATTGAACATCCTTTCTTTCTTTCTCTTGCCTGATTGCCCTGGCCAGAACTTCCAATACTATGTTGAATAGGAGTGGTGAGAGAGGGCATCCTTGTCACGTGTCGGTTTTCAAAGGGAATGCTTCCAGTTGTTGCCCATTTGGTATGACGTTGGCTGTGGGTTTGTCATAAATAGCTCCTATTGTTTTGAGATATGTTCCATCAATACCTAGCTTATTGAGAGTTTTTAGCATGGAGGCCTGTTGAATTTTGTCGAAGGCTTTTTTTTGCATCTATTGAGATAATCGTGTGGTTTTTGTCACTGCTTCTGTTTATGTGATGGATTATGTTTATTGATTTGCATATGTTAAACCCGCCTTGCATCCAAGGGATGAAGCTGACTTGATGGTAGATAAACTTTTTGATGTGCAGCTGAATTCTGTTTGCCAATATTTTATTGAGGAATTTCACATTGATGTTCATCAGGGATAATGGACTGAAATTTTCTTTTTTTGTTGTATCTCTGCCAGGTTTTGGTATCAGAATGATGTTGGCCTCATAAAATGAGTTAGGGAGGATACCCTCTTTTTCTATTGTTTGAAATAGCTTCAGAAGGAATTGTACCAGCTCCTCTTTGTACCTCTGGTAGAATCCGGCTGTGAATCCATCTGGTCCTGGACTTTTTTTGGTTGGTAGGCTATTAATTACTGCCTCAATGTCAGAATTTGTTTTTGGTCTATTCAGGGATTTGACTTCTTCCTGGATTATTCTTGGGAGGGTGTATGTGTTCAGGAATTCATTCATTTCTTCTAGATTTTCAATTTTTTTTTTTGTATAGAGATGTTTATAGTATTCTCTCATGGTAGTTTTTGGTTTCTGTGGGATTGGTGGTGATATCCCCTTTATCATTTTTTATTGTATCTATTTGATTCTTCTCTCTTTTCTTCTTTATTAGTTTGGCTAGCAGTCTATCTAAATCATTGATCTTTTAGAAAAATTAGCTCCTAGACTTATTAATTTTTTGAAGGGTTTTTTGTGTCTCTATCTCCTTCAGCTCTGCTCTGATCTTAGTTATTTCTTGTCTTCTGCTAGCTTTTGCATTTGTTTGCTCTTGCTTCTCTAGTTCTTTTAATTGCTATGTTAGGGTGTCAATTTTACATTTTTCTTGCTTACTCTTGTGGGCATTTGGTGCTATAAATTTCCCTCTACACACTGTTTAAATATGTCCAAGAGATTCTGGTACGTTGTGTCTTTGTTCTCACTGGTTTCAAAGAACATCTTTATTTCTGCCTTCATTTCGTTATTTACCCAGTAGTCATTCAAGAGCAGGTTGTTCAGTTTCCATATAGCTGTGTGGTTTTGAGTGAGTTTCTTGATCCTGAGTTCTAATTCGATTGCACTGTGTTCTGAGAGACTGTTTGTTATGATTTCCATTCTTTTGAATTTGCTGAGGAGTGTTTTACTTCCAATTTTGTGGTCAATTTCAGAATGAGTGTGATGTGGTGCTGAGAATAACATATATTCTGTTGATTTTGGGTGGAGAGTTCTGTAGATGTCTATTAGGTCTCCATGGTCCAGAGCTGAGTTTCAAGTCCAGGATATTCTTGTTAATTTTCTGTCTTATCGATCTGTCTAATATTGACAGTGGGGTGTTAAAGTCTCCCACTATTGTTGTGTGGGAGTGTAAGTCTCTTTGTAAGTCTCTAAGAACCTGCTTTATAAATCTGGGTCCTCCTGTATTGGGTGTATATATATTTAGGATAGTCAGCACTTCTTAATGCATTGATCCCTTTAACATTATGTAATGCCCTTCTTTATCTCTTTTGACCTTTGTTGGTTTAAAGTCTGTTTTATTAGAGACTAGGATTGCAATCCCTGATTTTTTTTTTTTTTTTTTTTTTTTTTTTTTTTTGCTTTCCATTTGCTTGGTAAATATTCCCCCATCCCTTTATTTTGAGCCTGTGTGTGTCTTTGCATGTGAGTGGGTCTCCTGAAGACAGCGGACTGATGGGTCTTGACTCCTTATCCAATTTGCCAGTCTGTGTCTTTTAATTGGGGCATTTAGCCCATTTACGTTTAAGGTTAATATTGTCATGTGTGAATTTGATCCTGTCATCATGATGCTAGCTGGTTATTTTGCCCATTAGTTGATGCAGTTTCTTCATAGTGTCAATGGTCTTTACAATTTGGTATGTTTTTGCAGTGCCTGTCACCAGTTTTTCCTTTCCATATTTAGTGCTTCCTTCAGGAGTTCTTCTAAGGCAGGCCTGGTGGTGACAAAATCCCTCAGCATTTCCTTGTCTGTAACGGGTTTTATTTCTCCTTCGCTTATGAAGTTTAGTTTGGCTGGATATAAAATTCTGGGTTGAAAATTCTTTGAGATTGTTGGATATTGGCCCCCACTCTCTTCTGGCTTCTAGCGTTTCTGCCAAGAGATTCGCTGTTAGTCTAATGGGCTTCCCTTTGTGGGTAACCCGACTTTTCTCTCTGGCTGCCCTTAACATATTTTCCTTCATTTCAACCTTGATGAATCTGATGATTATGTGTCTTGGGGTTGCTTTTCTCGAGGAGTATCTTTGTGGTGTTCTCTGTATTTCCTGAATTTGAGTGTTGGCCTGCCTTGCTAGGTTGGAGAAGTTCTCCTGGATAATATCCTGAAGAGTGTTTTCCAAGTTGGTTCCATTTTCTCCGTCACTTTCAGGTACACCAATCAAACGTAGATTTGGCCTTTTCACATAGTCCCATATTTCTTGGAGGCTTTGGTCCTTGCTTTTCATTCTGTTTTCTCTAATCTTGTCTCTATGCCTTATTTCAGTAAGTTGATTTTCAATCTCTGATATCCTTTCTTCCGCTTGATCGATTCAGCTATTGATAGTTACGTATGCTTTACAAAGTTCTTGTGTTGTGTTTTTCAGCTCTGTCAGGTCATTTACGTTCTTCTCTAAACTGGTTATTATAGTTAGCAGCTCCTGTAACCTTTTTATGAAGGTTCTGAGCTTCCTTGCAGTGGGTTAGAACATGCTCCTTTAGCTCAGAGGAGTTTATTACCCACCCTCTGAAGCCTACTTCTGTCAATTTGTCAGATTCATACTCTGTCCAGTTCTCTGCCCTTGCAGAAAGGAGAGGAGTTGTGATTATGTGGTGAAGAGGAATTCTGGTTTTTGGATTTTTCAACATTTTTGCACTGGTTTTTCCTCATCATCATGGATTTATCTACGTGGTGGATTTGATCTTTGAGGCTGATGACCTTTGGGTGGGGTTTTTGTGTTGGGGTCCTTTTTGTTGATGTTGATGTTACTGGTTTCCGTTTTTTAGCTTTTCTTCTAACAGTCAGTCCCCTCTTCTACAGGTCTGCTGCAGTTTGCTGGAGGTCCACTCCAGACCTTGTTTTCCTGGGTATTGTATCATTAGCAGAGGCTGCAGAACAGCAAAGATGGCTGCCTGCTCCTTCCTCTGGAAGCTTCATCCCAGAGGGGCACTGGCCTAATGCCAGCTGGAGCTCTCCTGTATGAGGAGTCAGTCAACCCTTGTTGGGAGATCTTTCCCAGTCAGGAGGCATGGGGGTTAGGGACTCACTGGAGGAGGCACTCAGTCCCTTAACAGAGCTCTAGTGCTGTGCTGGGAGGATCCTGCTTGTCAGGATCTGCTGCACTCTTCAGAGCCATCAGGCAAGATCGTTTAATTCCACTGAAGCTACAACCACATTCGCCCCTTCTCTCAGGTGCTCTGTCCCAGGGGGATGGGAGTTTTATCTATAAGCCCCTAACTGGGGCTGCTGCCTTTCTTTCAGAGATACCCTATGAACATGAATCTAGAGAGGCATTCTGGCCACAGCCTCTTTGCTGCATTGTGTTGAGTTCTGCCCAGTCTGACCTTCCCAGCCTCCTTAGCAGTGACGGGAAAACTGCCTACTCAAGTCTCAGTAATGGTGGATGCCCCTCCCCCAACCAAGCTCGTTCATCCCAGGTGGACTTCAGACTTCTGTGTTGGCAGCAAGAATTTCAAGCCAGTGGTTCTTAGCTTGCTGGTCTCCATGGGAGTGGGACTCACTGAGCAAGACCACTTGGCTCTCTGGCTTCAGCTCCCTTTCCAGGGGAGTGAGTAATTCTGTCTCGCTGGGGTTCCAGGCGCCACTGGCATAAAAAAAAAAAAACAAAAACAAACAAACAAACAAACAAAACTCCTGCAGCTAGCTTGGTGTCTGCCCAAACATCCACCCAGTGCTGTCCTTGAAATTCAAAGTCCTGGTGGTGTAGGCAACAAGGGAATCTCCTGATCTGCAGATTGCAGAAACCGTGGGAAAAGCATAGTATCTGGGCCGAATAGCACAGTCCCTCATGGCTTCCCTTGGCTGTGGGAGGGAGACCCCGGCTGCTTGCACTTCACGGGTGAGGTGATGCTCCACCCTGCTTCTGCTCACTCTCCATGGTCTGCAACCACTGCCTAACCAGTCCCAATGAGATGAACAGTTTACCTCAGTTGGAAATGCAGAAATCACCCACCTTCTGCATTGGTCTCGCTGGGAGCTGCAGACTGGAGCTGTTCCTATTTGGCCATCTTGCCAATGTCTATCTGCCAGTACTATTTCTTAAAGAGACTGTCCAATCCCCAGTGAATGTTCTTGGCACCTTTTTTGAAATTCAGTTGGCTGTAAATTTTGATTCTTTATTGCATTCCATTGGTCTATGTGTCTATTTTTATGGCAGTACCATGCTGTTTTGGTTACTATAGCTTTATAGTATATTTTGAAGTCAGGTGGAGTGATGCCTCCAGCTTTGTTCTTCAAATCCATGAACATGGTATGTATTTCTATTTGGATCATTTTCAATTTCTGTCAACATTTATATATTTACTTATAGAAATCTTTCACCACCTTGGTAAATTTATTCTTAGATATTTTCCTAATTTTCAGTAGCTATTGTAAATGAGATTGCTTTCTTGATTTTTTTCTCCCACTAGTTTATTTTAGTGTATAGAAACAATACTAACTTTTGCATGTTGATTTTGTATTCTGCAACTTTACTTAATTTGTTGATCAGTTCTAAGAGTGTTTTGGTGGAGGTTTTACATGTTCCTATATATAAGATGATGTCATCTGCAAACAGGGACAACTTCCTCCTTTCCAATTTGGATGCGCTTTAATTTCTTTCTCTTGCCTAAGTGCTCTAGCTAGGACTCCCATACTAAGTTGAATACAAATGGTGAATGTGGGCATCCTGGTGTTGTTCCAAATCTTAGGAAGAAAAAACTTTCAACTTTTACGCTGTCAGAATAATGCTGGCTGTGGGTTTGTCATATATGGTCTTAATTGGGCTGAGATACATTACTTTTACACCTAATGTGTTGAACGTTTTTTTAAATCAAGAAGATATGTTGAATTTTATCGCTTGCTTTTTTTGGATCTATTGAGATTATCGTATGGTTTTTGTTCTTCATTCTTAGATGTGATGTATCAAGTTTACTGACTTGTGTATGTTGAACTATCCTCACATCTCTTGATCCCACTTGATAATGGTAAATAATCCTTTTAATATGCTGCTGGATTCTTTTTCCAATTATTTTGTTGAAGAATTTTCAATCTATATTCATCAGAGATATTAACCTATAATTTCCTTTTATTGTGCCTTTGTTAGGTTTTGGTATCAGGTAATGCTGGCCTTGTGGGATACATTTGGAAGAATCACCTAACCTTTGGTTTTCTGAAATAATTTTAGAAGAATTAATATTATTCTTTTTTTTTTTTTTTTTTGATGACTCTCAGCCTCCCAAGTAGCTAGGACTACAGGCGTGCGCCATCATGCCCAGCTAATAAGAATTAATATTATTCTTTAAATGTTTTGGTAGAATTCAGCAGTGAAGCCATCAGGTCCTGAGCTAGTTTTTTTTTTTTTTTTAAGACTTTTTGTTACAGACTCATTCTCATTTCTCATAATTGGTCTGTTCAGGTTTTCTATTTCTTCTACATTTAATCTTGGAGGGTTCTGGGAATTTATCCATTATTGCTAGGTTTTCTAATTTATTGACATATAATTGTTCACAATAGTCCTATTGATCCTTTGTATTTGTATTTCTTTTTTTTTTCTTTTTTTTTGAGAGGGAGTCTTGCTCTGTCGCCCAGGCTGGAGTGCAGTGGCATGATCTCGACTCACTGCAACCTCTACCTCCCAGGTTCAAGTGATTCTTGTGCCTCAGTCATCCAAGTAACTGAAATTACAGGCACCCACCACCACGCCTGGCTAATTTTTGTATTTTTAGTAAAGACGGGGTTTCACCATGTTGGCCAGGCTGCTCCTGAACTGGCATCAGGTGATCCACCCACTTTGGCCTCCCAAAGTGCTGGGATTACAGGCATGAGCCATCATGCCTGGCCCAATCCCTTGTGTTTCTGTGGTATCATAATGTCTCGTTTTTTCACTTCTGACTTTATTTGGATCTTTTCACTTTTTCCTTGGTTATTTTGCCATGGTTTGTTGTTTATCTTCTCAAATAATGAATTTTTCATTTTGTTGATCTTTTGTATTGGTTTTTTAGTGCCAATTTTGTCCATTTCTACTCTGACATTTATTATTTCTTTCCCTATACTATTTTTTGTGTTTGATTTGTTCTTGCCTTTCTAGTTCCTTCAGATGTTTCATTAGGTTAATTGAAGTCTTTCTATTTTTTTTGATGTAGGCATTTATTGTTATAAATTTACCTCTTTTGCTGTATCCCATTGTTTTTGGTATACTGTGTTTCCATTTTCACTTGTTTCAAGAAATTTTCAAATTTCCTTCTTAATTTCTTCATTGACCTATTGGTCATTCAAGAGCATGTTGTTTAATTTCCATGTATATGTACAGTTTCTAATGTTCCTCTTGTTACTGAATTATAGTTTTATTCCACTGTGGTCACAAACAATAGTTGAAATATTTTAATCGTTTTAATTTTGTTGAGACTTGTTTTGTGGCCTAATATGATATCTCATGGAGAATGTTCCATGTGTTGATGAAAATAGCATGTATTCTTCAGTTGTTGAATAAAAATTTATATAAATGTATGTGAGATCCATTTGGTCTATAGTTTAAATCTAATGTTTATTGTTTTTCTGTCTAGATGATCAGTCCAATGCTGAGAGTGGGGTGTTAATGTCACCACCTATTATTGTATTACAGTCTATCTATCACTTTAGATAAAATATTTATAATTGTTATATTTATTCTTGATCACAGGACTCCCTTTATCTTCCTTTACATATTTATATGCTCTGGTGTTGGGTGTATATATATTTAAAAAGATTATATCCTCCTTTCTGAATTGATCAGGAAGGAGGATATAATTGAATTCATCATGATATAATTGAATTCATCATTATACAATGACTTTGTGTTTGTTTCCAGTTTTTGATTTAATGTCTGTATTATCTCATATAAGAATAGCCACCTTTGTTTGGTTTTTGTTTTCATTTGAGTAGAGTATCTTTTCCCATGCCTTCTCTTTCCATCCATATGTATGTTTACAGGTGAAGTGAGTTTGTTGTAGGCAGCATATAACTGGGTGACAGCTTTTTATCCATTCAGCATGTCTTTATCTTTTAAGTGGGAAATGGAATCCATTTAGATTCATGGTTATTATTGCCAGTTAAGGACTTACTCCTGTCACTTTGTTATTTGTTTTCTGGTGGTTTTGTATATCCTTTTGCTCCTGTTTTTCTCTTATTATTGTGGTTTGGTAGTTTTCTCTAGTGATAAGGTTTGATGCTTTTTCCATTTCTCCTTCGTGTATCTGCTCCACCAGTGAGTTTTGTATTTTTATGTGCTCTCATGATAGCAATTATTGTATTTTGCTTTCAAATATAGGACTCTCTTGAGCATTTCTGTAGGGTTGATAGAGTGGTCATGAATTTTCTCAGTTTGTGTTTGTCTGGGGAAAACTCTTTCTCCCTCATTTCTGAAGGAGAGTGTTGCTGGGTATAGTATTCTTGGCTGATATTGTTTTTCTTCTTTTGGTACTTTGACCATTCTCTCCTGTTCTATAAGGTTTCTGCAGAGAAATGCTGTTGGTCTAATTACAGATTCTTTTATATGTGACTTGCTGCTTACCTCTGGCTAGCTTTAGAATTTTCTCTTTGTCTTTGACTTTTGAAAATTTGTCTGTAATATACCTCAGAAAAGACCTGTTTGGGTTAAGTCTCATTGGGGATGTTTGAACTTCCTGGATCCAGATGTCCATATCTCTCCACAGCCTTGGGAAGTTTTCAGCTATTATTTCATTAATAGGTTTTCTATGCTTTTCCCTTCTCTTCTCCTTCTGGAAAGCCCATAATATGAATATTTTTTTGCCTAATGGTGTTCCATAAGTACTGTAGCCTTTGTTATATTTATTTTTTTCTGCAGAAAATATTTCAAACAACCCGTCTTCAAGTTCTGAGATTCTTTGTTCTGCTTGATCAAGTCTCTCCTTGAAGGCCTGTACTGTACTTTTCAATTAATTAATCAAATTCTTCAGTTGAAGAAACTGTTTGATTCATTTTAGTGATTTCTCTTTGTTAAATTTCTTATTCATATTATGAATTCTTTGTCTGATTTCACTGAATTATCTACTGTATTATCTTTTACTTCATTGGGTTACCTTAGTATCATTACATTGAATTATTCTTCTGGAAATTCATTGATTTCCTTTTCATTGGGTTCTTTTACTAAAGACTTGTGTTCCTTTGGTGGTGACATATTCCCTTCCTTTTTCATGTTTCTTGTGTCCCTGCATTGATCCATACACCTGTTGGAACAATCACCTCTTCCACATCTTGTAGAATAGTTTTCATAGAGAAATACTTTCACCTGCAGTTGGGCTTTAGTGTACCAGTTGGGAAGGGCGTGGTAATTTTGTTTACAGATAAGTGTAATGGAATAGGGTCCATGAGGCTTCTTCAGCTGTAATTAATGTCAGCAGTAACTGTGGGTTTCTTAGTGGCCTAGGCTGTAGAAGTTTGTGGCAGTGGTGGTATGGATTGTTAATTTTCTTAATGTCAAGTATTCTTGGGGTCCTCCTATATTTAATTTCACCACAATAGGGAGACTTATCAAGAGGATCCCTGTTGTTCCCAGGTCTGACATGGCCTACAAGTAGCTGCAGTGGCACTGGGTTCCTGGTGCAGGGTCTTGGAATGGCTGTGGGGTGAGATCTTAGGCTCAGCATTTCATCTATCCTTTGTGGTACCTGGGTTTGGGGGTTCAGGTTTACTCTTTGTGGCAGGTTTGGATGTAGAGTGCCCACAGAGCCAGGATCTGGACTCTAAGACACCCCTATCCACTTGGGCTGAAGGGCTGCGTTGTACTTGTGGTTCTATCCCTGGGTGGGGGCAGGGCACAGCACTGGCCCAACTCCTGAGAAGAAAAGGTACTCTGGAGATTTGTGCCTGAGAAGCAGAGTATACCTAGAAGTAAGCAACTTGAGCCAGTAGAGTTCAGTGGCATCTCAGATACCAGGGGATAAGACACCATGTAGTGGTGACTATAGACCCTAGGATGGTAAGGCTTATCTGTATCTTACTTTCTGTGAGGGCAGATGCGCGGCAGCAAGTTTCCCAGAATGGCAAAGTACAGTTGTCTTTCCAGCTTTGGGGGCATCAGAATAGCCCAACAATTAATCCACTCCCTAGAAAGAAATGTGTCTCTGCAGCACAGACTCTAGGGGCTAGTCCAGCTCCAGGGAAGCAGGGTATGAGATGTCTGGCCTGTAGGGTGGGGTGTTTCAGCTTAGTCACTGATGTTTCCTTGGGATAAGCAACTCAGGTCTGACAGGGCAGCAATTTCCCAGAAGGTGATAGCATACTTCAGATCAATCCTGGGGACAATGAGCATTCTGAGTGGTCTAAACACCATTTTGCTAGAATGTGGGATGCTGCTTCAAATTGAGGCATTGAGGAGATGTGATTGCTCTGAGTGGCTAAGGTGCTGTTCTCATAGGAGACAGGGTACCACTTTGGGTCCAGTCTGGTGGTGGGGGCGTGGATGGGGTGAGGGGAAGGTAGAGTAGTTCCACCTCTGCCTGGCCCACAGGGAAGGGTGTAACAGTTTCTCACAGCTCAGTCTTGAGATGCTGAACCACTGAGATGAGGTGGCTGAAAAGCTGCTTAGCCTCAGTTAATGAAGGGGAGCTACTTGCCCCCAGAGCAAGGCACACTCCAATTGCAATTTCAATTCCACAGTGCATAGCACACTAGTTGCATAAGCCTCAGGTGTCAGGGTACAGTGTTAGTTCCTGGTTATGTGGACTCTAGGTTGCTCCCTCAGATAAGCTTAGTGACTTTGAGGATTGCAGGGGACCCCAGTGGCGAGGTCTGTAGGAGTTAATGCAGGCTGCATTAACTCGCAGCCACCCCAGTGGCGAGGTCCGTAGGAGTTAATGCAGGGGACCCCAGTGGCAAGGTCCAAGGAGTTAATGCAGGCTGCTGAGATCCTCCTGCTTACCTTTCCCAAGTAGAGAGAAATTCCTCCTTGTTCCTAGCTGGTCCCAGTTGGGGGTTGGTGTAATGGAAGCCCGTCATTTCCTTCCATTTTCTACATGGCCATTTTGAGTTTCTGTGCCCACTTGGGTTTCTGTTACTCCTCTGATGCACTCTGGCACTCACTCTCGGTTATTTTTGTTAAAATGAAGTTATATGTTGTTCTGGCTATCTTTGTGAGGGGAACAATTGCTAGAGTCTTCTACTTGGCTATCTTGCAGATGTCACTTTTTCTCTTTTAACCTTTGTAGAAGAGGTAAAAGTGATTTATACACCACCATTACAGTGTCAGAATATTCTTGACTATAAACTTACTTTTATCAATGAGTTGATAGTTTCATGTTTCAATATTTTAATAAGTAGTATCACTTTGCTTCAGCTTCAAGAACTCTTTAGCATCTTTTGTAAATTGGGGCTAGTGGTGATGAACTCCCTCAGCTTTTGCTTGTCTAGGAAAAGCTTTATCTCTCCTACATTTCTGAAGGGTAGTCTTGTTGGGTAAAGCATTCTTGGTTGACTTTTTTTTTCTATCAGTACTTTCAATATACCATCCCACTGTCTCCTGATCTGTAAGGTATCTGTTGAGAAATCCATTGATTGCCTACGGAAGTTCCTTTGTATGTTATAAGTCCTTTTCTCTTGCTGCTTTTAGAATTAACTGTCTTTGATTTTTGACAATTTGATTATAATGTGCCTGAGTAAAGTCATCTTTGGGTGAATCTGTTTGGGAACCCTTGGGTCTTATGTCTGACGTCCAGACGTCTCCCAAGATTTGGGAATTTTTCAGACATCATTTCTTTAAGCTTTGTGCTTCTTTTTTTCTCTCTCCTCCTTCTGAGACTCTCACAATCTGTGTATCACTTCTTTTGACAATGTCTCATAAATATCTTAAGCTTTCTTAATTACTTTTCAATCTTCTTTTTTTCTTGTCTGACTGGGTAATTTCAAATGACCTGCTTTCAAGTTCACAGATTATTTCTTCTAATTGATCAAGTGTAATGCTAAAGCTCTCTATTGCACTTTTCATTTCATTAACTGTATTACGTTGCTATCTTAACATCTGAATCAGTCTTACGTTGCCATCTTAACATATGAAGCAGTCACCTCCTGCGGTCTTTACTGACTGGCTTTGGGAAACAAACAGCTTCACCAAGCTTCTCTTAGACATTTTCAATAGATGTACCCACTCCATACCTTCAGCCATTACCGTTTAGGGAGAATTCCTAAGACTATATGCTTTCTTTGGATCCCATTAAACTAGGCTGGGTGTTGAGAATATCCCATGTTTTTTTTGTGGGGGTAGTGCCCTGAAATGCTCAAGTTTGTGTGCATTCTCTAAATCCCAAAGAGTTGTGCCAGCTGACTGTGCTTGCATTCCCCATCTAGGGGGTGCACATGACAGCCAGCCATGGGGAAGGAGGGCAGTAATGCATATGAAGAGTTGGAATCACCTGTGGGCCAGCTGGTGTGGTGGTACACCACAGGTTAGGCATCCCAAGCAGCTTATGAGTGGGTCTGCTGATAGAGTCTGCAAAGTGGTTAGTAGGATACACAGCCCTTTCTTGAGTTTCAAGCCCTGACTGTGAGTCCCTCCCTGTTCTCCCTGCTCCTAGTCTCTCCTAGACACTTAGCCAGGCTGATCCCATTATTCTGGGTGAGTCAAAAAGAGGTGGGTCTTTTCGAGTGTCCTGCACAGGTAGAAAAGCCAGGAGCTTACTCACTATGCTCTCACTTCCCTCTGTGGGAAGAATCACAGGTTGAGGGAATCTCTCTTGGAACCGAGCTGTGCCATCTTGGGGCAGGAGTGATGCAGGTGAACTGAAATTGTTCTTACATTCTTCAATGTGTCTATTTTCCAATAGTATTCTGGAACTTCTCTAGCCTTTAAACTCCTAGAAAGGGTGGTTGTCAAAATTGGTGCACTGTGGGGAGATGACAGTAGATAACACTTATTCTTTTATCTAGCTCTCTTTCACCTATTTTCTAATTGAATAGTTGGTTTTGTTTTTTCTTGTTTGTTAAACTGTTGAATTTTAAGAGTTCTATATAAATTTAAGATAGTAATAACCAGTCATATATATGGTTTGCAAATTTTTCTGTCAGTCTGTGGTATGTTTATTCATCCTCCTGTAACAGAGCCAAAGTTTTTAACATTAGTAAAGTTCAAAATTTCAATTTATGGACCTTGCTTTTTCCTTTTATGGACCATGCTTGTGATATCAAAAATTCTTTTTCTAGCTCTAGATTCTGAAGAGTATCTGCAACTGACCCTCAAAAATTGTATAGATTCACATCTCCAGTTTAATTCTATGAGCCATTTCAAGTTCATTTTCGTATAAGTTTTGAGATTTTCATTGAGATTATAGTCTGCTTGCCTTCTTTCTAGCTTTCAGCATTGTATTTTTGTTTTACATATAATGTTCAATGCTTTTAGATGTACACAGTTAGAGGAATAAGGAAAAGTACATTTACACTATATTCCTGAAATTAGATGTCCATCCTACAATTTTTATGTGTCTAATTTTTAGTATTCTAAGTTCAAACTATTTTCTAGCTTAATTTAGAAATTTCCTTTGACTAGTAAGCCATTAGAAGCATACTGTTAAATTTCAAAGCAACAGAGGATTTTCTGGTTAACTTTTTGTTGTTGCTTTATAGCTAAATGCCACTGTGGTCAGAAAACAAATTATAAGTAATTTGAAACCCTTAAAATTTGTTGAAATTTATGACTCAGCATATGGTCAATTTTGGCAACTGCTCCATATGCACTGTAAAATAACATGTACTCTATTTTTGTTGAGTTCAGTGTTCTACATAAGTCATTTAGGGGAATTTTGTCAACTGTGCTGTTTAGAACCTTTTATTTTTTTCTTTGCTTATTCTTGCTTATTCTCCATGGTGAAAGAATTCTCCCTTAAAAGTGTATATTTGCTTCTTTTTTACTTTTAGTTTTGTCACTTTTTTCTTTTGTACATTTTGAAGCTTGAAGTTGGGTATAGAAGTATCAAAATTTACCACGGATTTAACTCCTTCACTTATTTATCTATAGTAATATTTCTTAGTTAAATCTATTTCATTTCATATCACTAGGCCTATGTTTGCTTTCTTTTAATTAATATTTTCATGGTGTAACTTTTTCTATCCTTTTCATTTTGAACCACATTGTTGTTCACATAGTTGGTTTTGTGTGTGTGTATGCGTGTGCACTTTAAGTACTTAGAATGTTTAATTTATTCACATTTAATATAATTAATGTTCATAATAAAACAGAGAACAAGAGTTGGCAAAGCTTTTTTGTAAAGGGCCTGACCATAAATATTTGACTTTGTCAATAACATGGTTTTTGTTCCAACTATTCAAGCCTGTTGCTGTAGCACAAATGGAGTCATAGACAATATATAAACAAATGACTATAGCTGTGTTCCAATAAATCTCTATCTAATGAAACACATAGCGTGTGGGATTTGGCCAGTGGGCTATAGTTTGCTAAACTCTAAATTACAATAAATAAATGCGTTGTAATTTATTTATATAATGTAATTTATTGTAATCAGGAAATAAGTAAAAGGCTCAAAGCACCAATATCCTGCAAGAGTGTACTAAGTTTAAGTTTGACTCATAGAATATCAAAGTATTTCAAGTGTGAATTCTAAATTAGCAATTTCACAACAATTTATTTTCTTTCCAGTTGTAGTGACTAAACCCTATTATTCTGGGAGGGAAACACAAAATAGCAACAGACAAAATTAGAGTAACCAGACACTGAACAAGCTATGCATATATGCAAACTTGATATAGATAAGTCAGTAGGGAAAACATCAAATAATAAATGCTGGAAGCAATGGTTATTATACAGAGAAAAAAAACAGAGCCCTGTCCTAAACAATCCACAATAATAAATTCCAGACTGAATAAAGACTTAAATGTGAGAGGCTCATATATGCTAGTGAGGAACTTCTTAAGACACAGTAATAAAATTCACAGCAGAAAAACATATACATTTAACTGTATTAAAAGTTAAAATTTTTCTATTAGAAAACATATAAACCAGATAAATGAAAGCCCACAATTTAAAGTTTACTATGTTTTAATGACCAAAGGGTATTATTAGAAAAAATATAACAGAGGAAATCTGAGATCAATAACAAATAAAAGCAAGAATAATCTCACCAATAATTAGAGAAATACAAATAAAAACAAAAGTGAGATGTTATTTCACACAAGTCAAACTGACAAAACAAAATATTTGACATTACTACCAAATGTTAAAAGGTTGTTTCACAATGAACACTCTTATAGACCATGAATTAGAATGAAAATTATTGCAACCACCTCCAGCAATTCTAGTAAATCTTAAGATAACGCCAATTTTAGGTAGACATACTAAAAAAAATCTCAGATGTATATATGGAGACATGTTCAAGACTGTACTGAAACATTATCGCAAAATTAAAGAATTAGACAAAATCTAAATTTCTTTGTCAAGAGAATGGATACATTTTGGTATAGTAATACAATGGAATGTAGCAATAGTTACAGTACATAAACTGGTAAAATATATTTCAAATATTAAAAATAATGTTGAGCACATAATAGCTTTTGCAGGATACATACAGCATGCTATCATCACTTATTAGTTTAAAAATGTGACAAATGGCACTATAAAGTAATTTCAGGTATAATCATATAAAGTATTAAAGCATGAATAGTATTGAAAAACACTAAGTTAAGGATAGTAATTACCACTGGGAAGGGACAGAAGGAAACAGGTGAGGAAATAAGTGCATACAGAGATTCATTTATTTCTGCGATATTTAATTTCTTAACAAAAATAAAACATGAAACATAACAAAATCTGAAACAAATATGGCAAAAAGTTAAGAACTGACACAATTGGGTGGTAGGTACACAGGTATTAGTTTTATCTTCTATATTTTGATGTATGCTTGAGGTATATAAATTTTTCAAAATAAAGAATAAGATATATAAAGTGTTTAACCTAATTCCTGACATAGAAAACACTTAATAAATCTTAATAAATCTTGGCTCATTATCTTTTGTTTTTTTCTAAACATGAGAAAAAAAAAAACAAATCATTGGCTAACCCAATGTATATATTATAAGCATTTTACCAACATGGGAAGGATTAACTCTTGAAATGCAAAATTTTAAATGATATGTTCACATGGTTCCAGGAGAACTGCAATATGAATTAGGTAAAATGAAAAGGCAATCTTCCATAGTACCTCTTGGTGAACAAAATAATAAATGCATCTAGTAGCCTACATAATTTCAAAAACTGATTTATCCTAGACTACTAACAATAGTTTATACTTTAAAAAGATTAAGAAGTTTTATTTGTTTTTTGAGATAGAGTCTGGCTCTGTCACTCACGCTGGAGTGCCATGGAATGATCTCAGCTTACTGCAACAGCCACCTCCCTGGTTCAAGTGATTCTCCTGACTCAGCCTCCCAAGTAGCTGGGATAACAGGTGCATACCACCATACCTGGCTAATTTTTGTTATTTTTAGTAGAGATGGGGTTTCACCATGTTGGCCAGGCTGGCCTTAAACTCCTGACCTCAAGCGATCCACCTGCCTTGGCCTCCCTAAGTGCTGGGATTACAGGCGTGAGCCACCATGCCTGGCAAAGAAGTAATATTTTAACTTTTTTTTTTTTTTTTAAATGTTATTTCTACAGGTTGCTGGGGAACAGGTGGTGTTTGGTTACATGGGTAAGTTCTTTAGTGATGATTTGTGACATTTTGGTGCACCCAACACCCGAGCAGTATACACTGCACCCAATTTGTCTTTCATCCCTCACCTCCTTGCCACCCTTTCCACCTGAGTCCCCAAAGTCCATTGTGTCATCCTTATGCTTTACATCTTCATAGCTTAGCTTCCAATTATGAGTCAGAACATACAATGTTTGGTTTCCCATTCCTGAATTACTTCACTTAGAATAATTGTCTCCAATCTCATCCAGGTTGCTGCAAATGCCATTAATTCATTCCTTTTCAAGGATAAGTAGTATTCCATCACATATATATGTATGTGTGTGTGTGTGTATATATCAGTAGTAGGATTGCTGGATCAAATGGTAGTCCTACTTTTAGTTCTTTAAGGAATCTCCACACTGATTTCCACAGTGGTTGTGCTAGTTTACATTCCTACCAGCAGTGTAGAAGTGTTCCCTGTTCACTGCATCCACGCCAACATCTACTGTTTTTTGATTTTTTGATAATGGCCATTCTTGCAGGAGTAAGGTGGTATCACGTTGTGGTTTTGTTTTGCATTTCCATGATCATTAGTAATGTTGAGCACTTTTTCATATGTTTGTTGGCCATCTGTATATCTTCTTTTGAGAATTTGTCTATATGTATATGTTTGTTGGCCATTTGTATATCTTCTATTGAGAATTGTCTATTCAGGTCCTTGGCCTACTTTTTGATGGGATTATTTGTTCTTTTCTTGCCCATTTGTTTGAGTTTGTTGTAGATTCTGGGTATTAGTCCTTTGTCAGATGCATAGATTGTGAAGATTTTCTCCCACTCTGTGGATTGTCTGTTTACTCTGCTGACTGTTCCTTTGCAGTACAAAAGCCCTTTAGTTTAATTAGATCCCAGCTATTTATCTTTGTTTTTAATTGCATTTGCTTTTGGGTTCTTGGTCATGAAATTCTTGCCTAAGCCAATGTCTAGAAGGGTTGTTCCAATGTTATCTTCTAGTATTTTTACAGTTTCAGGTCTTAGATTTAAGTCCTTAATCCATCTTGAGTTGATTTTTGTTTAAGGTGGGAGATGAGGATCTAGTTTCATTCTCCTACATGTGGCTAGCCAATTATCCCTGCACGATTTGTTGAAAAGGGAGTCCTTTCCCCACTTGATGTTTTTGTTTGCTTTGTCAAATATCAGTTGGCTCTAAGTATTTGGGTTTATTTTTGGGTTCTCTATTCCGTTCCATTGGTCTATGTGCCTATTTTTATACCAGTACCATGCTGTTTTGGTAGCTATGGCCTTAGAGTATAGTTTGAAATCAGGTAGTATGATGCCTCCAGATTTGTTCTTTTTGCTTAGTCCTGCTTTGGCTATGCAGGCTCTCTTTTAGTTCCATATGAATTTTAGAATTGTTTTTTCTAATTCTGTGAAGAATAATGGTATTTTGATGGGAATTGCATGGAATCTGTAGATTGCTTTTGGAAATATGGTCATTTTCACAATGTTGATTCTACCATCCATGAGTATGAGATGTGTTTCTGTTTGTGTCATCTATGATTTCTTTCAGCAGTGTTTCATAGTTTTCCTTGTACTTTGACTACTTTGTTAGGTATATTCCTAAGCATTTTATTTATTTTTGCAGCTTTGTAAAAGGGGTCAAGTTCTTGATTTGATTCTCTGCTTGGTTGCTGTATAGAAGGGCTACTGATTTGTGCACATTAATCTTGTATCTGGAAACTTTGCTGAATTCTTTTATCAGTTCTAGAAGCTTTCTGGAGGAGTCCTTAGGGTTTTCAAGGTAAATGATCATATCATCAGCAAACAGTGACAGTTTCACTTCCTCTTTGCCAATCTGGATGCCCTTTATTTCTTTCTCTTGTCTGATCGCTCTGGCTAGGGCTTCCAGTATGATGTTGAAGAGGAGTGGTAAGAGTGGGCATCCTCGTCTTGTTCCAGTTCTCAGAGAGAATGCTTTCCACTTTTCCCCATTCAGTATTAGTTGGCTGTGGGTTTGTCATAGATGGCTTTTATTATGTTGAGGTATGTCCCTTGTATGCCAATTTTGTTGAGAGTTTTAATCCTAAAGGGGTGCCAGACTTTGTTGAATGCTTTTTCTGCATCTATTGAGATGATCATGTGATTCTTCTGTTTTTAATTCTGTTTATGTTGAGTATCACACGTATTGACTTGCATATGTTAAACCATCCCTGCAGCCCTGCTCTAAAACCCACTTAATCATAGTGGATTATCTTCTCGCTACGTTGTTGGATACAGTTAGCTAGTATTTTGTTAAGGATTTTAGTATCTATGTTTATCAAGGACATTGGTCTGTAGTTTTCTTTTTTGGATATGTCCTTTCTTGGTTTTGATAATAGTGTGATGCTGGCTTCACAGAATGAATTAGGGAGGGTTCTTTCTTTCTCTATCTTGGGGAATAGTATCAAAAGTATTGGCACCAATTCTTCTTTGAATGTGTGGTAGAATTCTGCTGTGAATCCATCTGGTCCTGGACTTTTTTTTTTGTTGGTAATTTTCTAATTACCACTTCAATCTCGCTGCTTGTTATCAATCTGTTCAGGTAATCTAATTCTTTCTGATTTAATCTAGGAGGGTTGTATTTTTGCAGGAATTTATCCATCTCTTCTAGGTTTTCTAGTTTATGTGCATAAAGGTGTTCATAGTAGACTTAAATGATCTTTTGTATTTCAGTGGTGACAGTTGTAATACCTCGCGTTTCATTTCTTAGTGAGGTTATTGGATTTTCTCCCTTCTTTTCTTGGTTAATCTTGTTAATGGTCTATCAATTTTATTTATCCCTTCAAGGAACCAGCTTTTTGTTTTATTTATCTTTTGGGTTTTTTGTTTGTTTGCTTGCTTGTTTGTTTCAATTTCACTTAATTCTGCTCTAATCTTGGTTATTTCCTTTGTTCTGCTGGGTTTGGGTTTAGTTTGTTCTTGTGTCTCTAGTCCCTTGAGGTGTGACCTTGGAATGTCAGTTTGTGCTCTTTCAGTCTTTTTGATGTATGTGTTTAGAGCTATGAACTTTCCCCTCTTAGCACTGCCTTTGCTGTATCCCACAGGTTTGGTAGGTTGTGTCATTACTGTCATTCAGTTAGAAGAATTTTTAAATTTCTATCTTGATTTCGTTTTTGACCCAATGCTCAGTCAAGAGCAGGCTTACTTAATTTCCATGTATTTGCATGGTTTTGAAGGTTCTTTTTGGAGTCAATTTCCAGTTTTATGCCACTGTGGTCTGAGAGAGTGCTTGACATAATTTCAATTTTCTTCAATTTATTGAGGCCCATTTTATGGTCTATTGTATGGTCCATCTTGGAGAAAGTTCTATTCACTGTTGAACAGAATGTGTATTCTGTGGTTGTTGGATGGAATGTTCTGTATATATCTGTTAAGTCCATTTGTTCCAAGGTATAGTTTAAATCCCTTGTTTCTTTGTTGACTTTCAGTCTTGATGCCCTGCCTAAGGCTGTCAGTGGAGTATTGAAGTCTCCAACTATTAATGTGTTGCTGTCTATCTCACTTGTTAGGTCTATTGGTAATTGTTATATAAATTCGGAAGCTCCAGTGTTAGGTGCATTTATGTTTAAGATTGTGATATCTTCCTGTTGGATAAGGCCTTTTACCCATCATATAATGTCCCTCTTTGTCTCTTTTAACTGCTGTTGCTTTAAAGTTTTTTTTGTTTTTTGTTTTTTGTTTTGTCTGATATAAGAATGACTACTCCTGCTCGCTTTTGGTGCCCATTTGCATGAAATTATTTTTCCACCCCTTCACTTTAAGTTTATGTGAGTCCTTATGTTTTAGGTGAGCCTCCTGAAGGCAGCAGATAGTTGGTTGGTGAGTTGTTATCCATTCTGCAGTTTTGTATCTTTTAAGTGGAGCATTTAGGCCATTTACATTCAGTGTTAGTATTGAAATGTGAGGTACTGTTGCATTCACCATGCTCTCTGTTGCCAGTGTACTTTGGTTTTTTTGTTTTTGCTTTTTTAGCTTATATTTTTGTTTTATAGGTCCTGTGTGATTTATGCTTTAAAGAGGTTCTGTTTTGATGTGCTTCCAAGTTTTGGTTCTAAGATTTGGAGCTCCTTTTAGCCGTTCTTGTAGTGGTGGCTTGGTAATGGTGAATTTGCTCAGCATTTGTTTGCCTGAAAATGACTGTATCTTTCCTTGATATGATGCTTAGTTTAGCTAGATATAAAATCTTGGCTGATAATTGTTTTGTCCGAAGAGGCTGAAGATAGTGCCCTAATCCCTTCCAGCTTGTCTACTGAGAGATCTGCTGCTAATATAACAGGTTTTCCTTTATAGGTTACCTGGTGATTTTGTCTCACAGGTCTTAAGATTTTTTGCTTCATCTTAACTTTGGATAACCTGATGACAATGTCCTAGGCAAAGATCTTTTTGCGATGAATTTCCCAGATGTTCTTTGTGCTTCTTGTATTTGGATGTCTAGGACTCTAGCAAGGCCAAGGAAGTTTTCCTCAATTATTCCCCCAAATATTTCCAAGCTTTTAGAATTCTCTTCTTCCTCAGGAACACCAATTATTCTTAAGTTTAGTTGTTTAACATAATTCCAGACTTCTTGGAGGCTTTGTTCATATTTTCTTATTCTTTTTTGTCTTTGTTGGATTGGGTTAATTCGAAGACCTTGTCTTTGAGCTCTGAATTTCTTTCTTCTACTTGTTCAATTCTATTGCTGAGGTTTTCCAGAGCATTTTGCATTTCTAAAAGTGTGTCCAAAGTCTCCCGAATTTTTTATTGTTTTTTTCTTCAAGCTATCTATTTCCTTGAATATTTCTCCCTTCACTTCTTGTCTCATTTTTTGGATTTTCTTGCACGGGGCTTCGCCTTTTCTTGTCCCTCCCTGATTAGCTTAATAACTAAACTCCTGAATTCTTATTCAGGTAAATCAGGGATTTATTCTTGGTTTGGAGCCATTCCTGGTGAACTAGTGTGATTCTTGGGGGGTGCTGAAGAGCCTTGTTTTGTCATATTATCAGGGTTGGTGTTCTGGTTCCTTCTCATTTAGGTAGGCTCTATCAGAGGAAAGGTCTAGGGCTGAAAACTGTTGTTCAGATTCTTTTGTCCCTTGGGGTGTTCCCTTGATGTAACACTCTGCCCCTTTTTCTATGGATGTGGTTTCCTGAGAGTCTATCTGTAGTGATTGCTATCTCTCTTCTGGATCTAGCCACCCAGCAAGTCTACTAGGCTCTGGGCTTGTACTGGGGATTGTCTGTACAAAGTCCTGTGATGTGAACCATCTGTGGGTCTCTCAGCCATGCATACCATGGTATTTGGGATGTCTCCTGGGTCCTGCAATCTGCTTCCTTCAGAGGGTCTATGGGTCCTCTTGGATTTCCTGACTTATTCCTGTAGTCGTTCTGGAGCAAAAATTCACAATGTGAGCCTCTGCATGCTACTCTGTCCATTGTATTTAACTTTCAATTGTTCAGAAGTTACTTACAAAAGCTACTTGGGATGACTGAACAGTTCAAACTTTTAAAATATTACTTCTCAAGTTTCTTAGGAATTGTTATGAAATCAAAATCTTATAAATTCTTATGACTGAAGGTGGGGGATGAATAACATTTTATAAAACAGTAATATATGGGCTAATTGATCTACCCATCATTTATATGGGTTTCCTGATTGTTACTCCTATCACATTTCACTCCATTTTAATTTACCTTATAGATCACACTAATGCCTGCCTTATTCACTATCATATTCCCAGAGTCTAACACAATGTCTCACTACTTATAGATGCACAACAAATTAGTTATAGACCAATGAATAAATGAATTTCTTTCAGATTATTCAGAAAGTCATTCTTTTAAAAATACTTAGCAGTCTACCAATGCTTATTCAATTAAATCCAGACTCCTCAACATAATCATTCATAGCTCTCTATAACTTACTAAACCTAATGTTTTTCATATTCTCTCCTATATGCCAAATACATTATATAAACTGAAATATATTTTATTCCCTAAATACAACTCTCATTTTCTCATCTCCTTTGGCTTCTTATGCTAGTGGGTCCATCTGAACCACTCCCAACCACCTCTAGTTTTGTCTTCATCAAGTTAGTTTGAAATTTCATCTACTCTTCAATGTCCGTAAGATATGCTACATTTTCAAGAAACTTTTCCTGATCTCTCCAACTATATTTCTTTTGTCACCCTTAATACACACATTTGTTTTTAATGTTCTTAAGATACAAATAATATGCTGTTTATCTTGTTATTTGATATTTGTCTCATTCCATATTTTTATTAGCCTTTAAGTTCCTACAATATGGTCATTTTATTTTAACTTCATATCACTAAAGCACTTGGCATAATTCTTTCCACAAAGGTAGTGATAGAAAATATTAGTTAAGCTGAATTATGTGAAAACACTGTTCAAAAACTATTTTCTAATAACAATTGCTAAGAAAATACGAACCTAAGAATAAATGACCTAATAATCCAAAGTAATTATAAAAGTTGTAAGATGAGAATAAGCATATTTCAAAACAGAGATAGAAAATCTTTGAAAGAATAAAAATGTTGATTTAGCAATCCTTTTCCATTTGCTAGTGAAACTTTTAGAAGAAAAAACTCCATTACTTAATAACTCGAGCAGTAATAGAAAAAATCATGCTTAGAGAATAAGACTGAAATTGCCTAAAAAACATTTACAAATGTTCTTTTCATTTTCTCTAAAACAAAATTTAAAAAAGCTATACTAAATAAAGGAATAATTTAAAGAATTGTGTATTTCTTGAATCTTAAATAACTGATATTGTGTAATTAATTTCTATTTATCTTTTTAAAAATTAGAGACAGGTTCTTGTTCTATCACCCAAACTGGAGTGCAATGGTGCAAGCATAGCTCACTCCAGCCTCGAATTTCTGGACTCAAGAGATCCTCCCACCTCTGCTTCCTGGGTAACCAGAACTATAGGCATGCACCATCATGCCCGGCTAATTTTTTAACTTTTTATAGAGATGGGGTCTTGCTATGTTCCTCAGGCTGGTCTCAAACCCCTGGTCTCAATGATCCTCCTGCCACAGCCTCCCAAAATGCTGAGTTCACAGGCATCAGCTACCACACTGGGTCTCTAATTATCTTTGCTCTCCAGATGACTCCCTGAAATAATGCTGATGGTGTATCACAGAAAAAAATGTCAATAATATTGTATTGTGGTTATGTAAGCAAATTCTCTGGATACTTTTCTTTCTCTAACAAAATTATACACTCTGTAAGCACTCTAATTACAGTTTTGAATGTTTACTTTTGGCTCTCACTCTAATAAATATTGGCTACCAAATATGTAAATTGCATCTTTTCCTCTATCCTTTGGAAGGAAATAAAGTACAGGTTGGCTAGCATTTTGGGAAGATGTTCCTGTACATTTTAAAGGACTGCAGGAAATCTCTTAATCCTTTCGTTTATATCATGAGGAGGTTAATTTTCATCATTTATCAATAAATGTTGACGAACAGCATAAGTAACTGATAAACTTACAGTCAACTCCCTGTAATGTGTTAAATCATCAATCTCCTAGCATCATGGGATGATGCAAAATCATCCCTTCAAGGTTTTACGTGGGTAACTCATCAATAGAGAGTCCAGAATTACAATGGCCAATACAAAAGCTTCAAGCATATATAACTATTTAAATCTAAATTTTATTCATTTAATATGAAAATTAAATAAAACATTCATTTCTTCAGTTGTATTAGCCTAATTTCAAGTGGTCAAAAGCCCCATGTAACTAGTGGCTACAATACTGGACAGTGCAGAATTATATAACATTTCTATCATCAGAGAAAGATCTACTGGACAGTGCCGGTCTAGAAAGCTAATAATCTGATTCAACTCAAATAGTACAGGTGAATTGTTATATTTTATCTGTTGAGTCTTGTATTTGTTAACTCATGAGCAACAGGAGTAGCCTTGCCATTTCTTTAATATAATTTTCAAATAACTATTTTTTTATGACAGTTGGCACAAACTCCTATACATTGTACAAGACATGTCAAATTCTTCCCTGCCTCAAGGCCCCTTCTTGGTCCATTCTTTGGCTCAATCTTCATTTTCTGTCCCAGCTGGAATGTTACTACCTTAGAAAGGTCTTCTATGACCTTTCTATCAAAAATAGGTCTCTACCACCACCACCTCCATAATAACATACATATTAATCTCTATCTCAGCACCCTGCTTCTTTCATAGGATACTGTAATTTTAATTATTTCATTCATTCCTTCACATCTCTTTCATTCATTCACATATCTTCTACAGAACAGGGATCCTTTGTCTATGTTATTCATAGTCCTGTCCCCAGAGCTTACCTAGCATAGGCATGAACTCAAAATTCATTGAATGAGTATATTAATGTTTGTTGAATAAGTGAATATATTTAGACTATGATGTTTTTCCCCTCCATAGCCACTCATACCTCTTTGGCACTATGCTTTTATATGTATTCCTCCCTTTCTTTTTATTCTACCTTATGTATCTCCTTTTTTCCCCCAGCAGACTATCTCAATATTTATTTGTTTTAATTTTGGGTACAAAGGGTAATGAGTAGAAAAAGAATTCCCAAGCTAGAAGAAGAAAATATTTTTAGGTGAGCTTTCAGAGAAAATAAACTTATTTTTAGTATTCCATTCTGTCCCTTCAGCAAGTACCAAGAGACCAAAGCACTAACCTTAGCTCCCTCAGTAGATACATATACCGGTGTGGCGTAGATAACAAAGAGGATTCAATTAGCCTGGGTATGAAAAAAAAAGCAAGTATTCAAGAAAAAAAATGGAATAAAGGACTGGGAAAAAGGGAAATTTTCCACTAAGCTTCTTAAGCAAATCTTTTTCTAATCTTGAATATTTGTCACCTAGTGCCAACTACTGTACTTCAGAGAGCAATGCCACTTGAAATACTTTTTACTTATATAGAAAACACAAAATAATCAAAGACAACTGAATTTTACAACCCTGAAAAAAATCAAGAAACCAGCTATTTAAAATATCTTTTAAAAGTTACATACAAATGTAATGAAGAGAACAGATGATTGAATTATGAAAGTATAATGAGCCAAATATTTAATATATTAAATATATAAGCTATTCAACACATTGGAAGACTTCAAATTTCAGCCTATGTCCACAAAATTTACGTAAAGTATAGTTAGCTACCATAAAGGTAACATAGTCCCCTAAGAACAATAAGCTTCAAAATGGTTATCTTGAGGCAATTCAGAAAACTTACTTTGATCCAAAGCAAGCCTAAATGATCATTATGTAATAACTGCACTAAAGAATTTTCACCATTACACCTAACAAAGTTTATATAGACAATCAAGTTTGAAGTTCCAGCTTAAAATACAAGAAATAAATATCAAACTCCTGTTGCTTTGTTTTTCCAATATCATAAAAAGACTGAATAAAGTATGTTCATTTAACACAACTTCTGGCAATTTTATGGCACCCAATGTAAGGACTTTAGGACTTTATCTTGAAAAATAAAACTAAAAAGTAAGAACTACTTGTATTTCCCAAGCTGACCATGACTTTTCACATCTCCATGACTTTCACTATATTTGACACATAAGAGTTGAAATCATGTTGGAAGATAAGTGGGTAGGAGGGAAGGAAAAAGAGGAAGAACATAGTTGTTTCATTCACTCAACAAATATTTATCAAATGCCTACTGACCAGAACTGTTCTAGGCATCTGGGAAACATGGCTAAACAAAAAGGGGAAACACAAATTTATAAAAGATTTCTGTTGCTAGTAGCAACAACTAAGTTACAGTGATAAGATATATGAGCTAGCACTCCTGGATCCCACATACCCATTGATAATGGTTTCCTTCTTCCTTTACTGCAAAACATACTAAAACAAAATAAAAAAAGAAAAAATTCTCTTGAACATTTTTTCAGAAACCGAAGTAATATATGAGGTAAAGAACCCTCTAGGGATGCATTACATATGGCCAAGGATATGGGCATTATTGCTAGAAAGCAGATTAATTTCCTCATGCTGTCATATCACCTCCTCTCTTACTCCTCACCTCAAAACATGCAGTGAAAAGCAAGGTCCATGGGGATGGGAGTCTGGAAACAGCAACATGTTCTGAAGATATGGAGGATGGCAGAGGACTCTTAGGCAGTAACAGTATGTTACCACTAAAGAGATAGGAATCAAGATTTGGTTGCAAGACAACAAGAATAGTACACATAAGAGAAGAATGGTTAGCTTCACAAAAGTAAAGCAGTTATAATTCTTCCAAAGAGGACAATCTTGTAAAGGAAGATTTGTCCCTACTAGGTCTGCTACTCTTGAGCTTTAATTAGTATAATCACAATGCATAATGCAGGTGCATCTGAAAGGCTAGAGTCACCATTATGCTATCTGTTAAAAACATCTTTCATAATCAAGTCAACCATAGCTTTCCACAGATATGATGCATTACCGTGGCCAGAGTCATCTGGGGCTTTAAAATAAAAATTTTTTTTTACTCTTTTGTTCAGGCCTATTCCACAAGACACTAAACAGAAGCAAAAATCTTAAGATTCTGAGCAAAACTTAAAGGCTGTTGGAATATGAAAGATTCTCTATCACTTAAATTATTACAGTTATTAAGTATGCATAAAAATTATATATTATAATAAAAATAATATGGTTATAACAGCAAATAGTGAATGGATAGCTTCAAGACTCTGTGGACTCTGAATCTGGTCTTTGGAAATAAAAGCATAGAGCAGTCAGCTAAATATTGAATATACATTAAAAAATATCTATAAGAATAAGTACTCAAGCCAACCAAATAAACTATTCCTTTTTAATACTAAAAACAAGCTCTTCACTTTTAATACCTTGAAAATAATTTTAGTTCTGCATTAGTCCATTCTTGCACTGCTATAAGGAAATACATAAGACTGGGTGATTTATCAAGAAAAGAGGTTTAATTGGCTAATTGTTCCACAGGCTGTACAGGAAGCCTGGCTGGGGAGGCCTCAGGAAACTTTCAGAATGCAGAAGGTGAAGGGAAAGAAGGCACATCTTACATGACTGGAGCAGGAGGAAGAGAGAAAATGGGGAGGTACTACCCATTTATAAGCAAGCAGATTTCATGAGAACTCACTCACTATCAGGGGAACAGCAAGGAGAAAATTCACCCCCATGATACAATCACCTCCCACCAGGGCTCTCCTCCAACACTGGTGATTACCATTCGACATTAGATTTGGGCAGGGACACAAATCCAAAGTGTGTCACTCCACCCTCGGCCCTTCCCAAATCTCATATCCTCACACTGGAAAATACAATCGTCCCTCCTCAACAGTCCCCCAAGTCTTAACTCATTTCAGCATTAACTCAAAAGTCCACAGTCCAAAGTCTCATCTGAGACAAGACAAGACCCTTCTGCCTATGACCCTGTGAAATAAAAAACAAGTTAGTTACTTCCAAGATACAATGAAGGTATAGAATTGGGTAAATACTCCCTTTCCAAAAGGGAGACATTGATCAAAAGACAGGGTCTACAGGCCGCGGGGCATGTCCAAAACCCAGAAGGGCAGTCATTAAACCTTAGGGGCCCAAAATAATCTCCTTTGACTCCATGTCTCACATCTAGGCAACACTGATGCAAGGGGTGGGCTCCCACAGCCTTGGGCAGCTCTGCCTCTGTTGCTCTGCAGGGTACATTCCCTGCAGCTGCTTTCACAGTCTGGCATTGAGTGCCTGAGGCTTTTCCAGGCACATAGTGCAAGCTGTTGGTGGACCTACAATTCTTTGGTCCGGAGGATGGTAGCTCCCTTCTCACAGCCCCACTAGGCAGTGTCCAGTGTGGATTCTGTGTGGGGGCTCCAACCCTACATTTCCTCTTTGCACTGCCCTAGCAGAGGTTCTCCATGAGGGCTGCGCCCCTGCAGCAGGCTTCTGTGTGGACATCCAGGCATTTCCATATATCCTCTGAAATCCAGGCAGAAGCTCCCAGGCCTCAACTCTTGCCCTCTGTGCACCCACAGGCTTAATACCATGTGGAAGCTGCCAAGATTTATGGGTTCCACCCTCTGGAGCAGTTGACTGCGATGTTATCTGGGGCCCTTTTAGCCACAGCTGGAGCTGAAGCAGCTGGGACCAGGGAGCAATGTCCTGAGGTTGTACAGGGCAGTGGGGCCCTGGGCCTGCCCCCACAAAATCATTCTTCCCTCCTATGTCTCCAGGCCTGTGATGGTAGGGGCTGTGGTGAACATCACCAAAATGCCTTTGAGGCATCTTTATTGTCTTGGGCATTCAGCTCCTCTTTACTTATGCAAATTTCTGCAGCCAGCTTCAATTTCTCCCTAGAAAATGGGTTTTTCTTTTCTATCACATGGTCAGGCTGTAAACTTTCCAAACTATTATGCTCTACTTCCCTTCTAAATATAAGTTCCAGTTTCAGACCATCTCTTTGCAAACACATATGAACTTACACTGTTAAAAGCAGCCAGGCTACATCTTGAGTGCTTTCTTGCTTGGAAAGTTTCCTGCCAAATACCCTAAATCATCTCTCTCAGGTTCAAAGTTCCACAGATCCTTAGAGCAGGGGCACAAAGCTGCCAGTCTCTTTCTACAACATGGCAAGAGTGACCTTTACACTAGTTCCCAGTAAGCTCCTCTTCTCCATCTGAGGCCTCCTCAGCCTAGACTTCACTATCCGTATCACTATGAGCATTTTGGTCACAACCATTCAACAAGTCTCTTGGAAGTTCCAAACTTTCCTTCATCTTCCTGTCTTCTTCTGGGTTCTCCAAACTGTTCCAACCTCTGCCCATTATGCAGTTCCAAAGTCACTTCCACATTTTCAGGTATCTTTATACCAATGCCCATTCACTGGTACAAATTTTCTATATCAGTCCATTCTCACACTCCTATAAAGAAACATCTGAGACTGGGTAATTTATAAAGAAAAAAAGGTTTAGTTGGCTCATAGTTCTGCAGTCTGTGGGAGAGAGAGTTTCTGGGGTGCCAGATGAGTTGGTCTCCCCCGTGTGAAACACCCATGGGAAGCCATGGGCGGCCTCTGAGGAGAAAAGTCTCCTTATTGCCTTTATATGTTTATGCCCCGAGAGCATAACAGCTCAGCGGCATTCCACAGGTTGCCCAGGGAGATAACACTCCCTTGAAGCAGTGGAGTATAATCAAACATCTTGGCTCCTCCTGAAACCCACTCCTACCCATTTCAGTCCCAATAAGTTAAAGATCTTAAGTAGTTTAGACACACACCTTTGCTCAAGGAAATTCACAGAAACCGCCACTGCTATACTTCTTATTGAATGACTCACGAGTTCTCCCTCATGAGCCTTTTCCTCATCCCTTCCTACCCCTCCCATATGCCCTAAGAACAAAGAGCTTGTAAACCAATAAATTAGGTGGAGCCGAAGAGCTCTGGGCCATGAGCAAGGCTCTAACGCTCTGGTCCCCTGGACCCACCTTTTAAACGCTTATTCTGTCTCTTTGTAACTCCTTTGTCTCCGCTGGACTCGGGGTACCTGCCAGGTGGTGTGGGGCTGGTTTCCCCAACACAGGCTATACAGGAAGCATGGCTTGGGAAGCCTCAGGAAATGTTCAATCATGGTGGAAGATGAAGGGGAAGCAGGAATGTCTTACATGGCCAGAGCAGGAGGAAGAGAGAGAATGGGGAGGTGCTACACACTTTAAACCACCAGATCTCATGAGAACTCACTATCACGAGAAGGGCAAGGGGGAAATTTGCACCCATGATCCACTCACCTTCAACCAGGCCCCCTCCTCCAACACTGGAGATTACAATTCCACATGAGATTTGGGCGGGGACACAGATCCAAACCAGATTAAGTTCTAATTATAAAATGCATTTATGTAAAAGTAAAACACTCTTATTTGCTTCTATAGAGAGTCACCACTAATCTACGAGCCATTACCTTCCTTTTAATATTCTGTAATGCAAGGTCCACCAATAATTATACCTTTCTGGCTAAATAATTTTTTAAACACAATATTTAAATAAGAAGATATGACAACCAAGGAAAAAAGATATTTTTAAAAAACCATATATTATTTACAATTTGCATTAGTTTATGCTCCTGTCATAATTTATGAGAATGCAGAGAATTAGAACACAGAACTAGAGGTATATTGAGAAACAATTTTAGGATGTTTCAGAACTCGAATGAATTCCCATTTTAGAACTCAGACATTTTATATATCATATATAATATATAAGCTCCAACTCTGGTTGGGGGGAAAAGGGCAATTTCTATTGTCAAAAGATTTACTTTCATTAAGCAAAAACAAGCTTTCCCATTACAGGAATCAAAGTTGTAAGCCAAGTTTCAAAGTGCTGTAGGCAACTTCACATGAGAATATTCCCAAGTAGAATTTATAATTTACATACCTGTACAGATGAATATTTGGAAAAACTTTCCATTTGATACCGCCTAAAATCTTCATTTAGTCTTCGATCTGAAACAAGCGGGAAAACAGATTTCAGTTCATTGAGTAATGGTCAATTCTTTAAAACTAGAAATACAGTAATTATTTGATGTATCCCATGCAAAACGGCTAGTCTTCACTGCTTCTCAAAATAAGATGAATCATCAGTTTCAATACACCATTTTAAAACTTGAAAATAGGCCCTTTTATATATCTAAGCCAACTAATTACTGCCAAAGTGAAAAAAATAACATCTGCAAAGAACTACCATTTCTGATTTCATAAACATGAAATCTCAGTCTCTGCTGGCTTGCTCTTCGGGTTAATGAAAGTAAAATATATTCTCCACATCTTATTACTACTACTAAAATTGAGAAGCATTGGGAAGATAAGCTATAGTCATATTTTTTAGAATTCTTAAAACCAATTGAAACTCTTCCAGGACAAACCTCCACCTTAAGGAGAAATTGCAGGCTGAAGAATCCAAATTAAACAGGAGTGGGTAAGAGACAATGGGGGAAGAAGACCCAGAATAAAGGTGAGAGGTCTTGGTAATAACAAGGCCAGCCCAGGCCCGGTGACTCATGCCTGTAATCCTAGCACTTTGGGAGGCCGAGGCAGATGGATCACTTGAGGTCGGGAGTTCGAGACCACCCTGGCCAACATGGTGAAACCCCATCTCTACTAAAACTACAAAATTAGCCAAGAGTAGTGGCATGCGCCTGTAATCCCAGCTATTTGAGAGGCTGAGGCAGGAGAATAACTTGTACCCGGGAGGCAGAAGTTGCAGTGAGCCAAGATCGCACCACTGCACCCCAGCCTGGGTGACAGAGTGAGACTCTGAAAAAAAAAAAAAAAAAGAATAAGAAGAAAAGAAAAAGAAAAAAAAGAAATAACAAGACCATACTTTTATTTACATCAAGAAAAGTAACATACATACAACATAGTACCCAACAAATTTGCAATCACACGTTCTTTTCAAGATCACACAGAACATTTAATGTTGATTATTCACTGGTAAAAGAAAGTCTCAATAATGTTCAAAGGACTGAAACCAAAGACAGTATGTTATCTTACAATAGCACTATTAAGTTAGTATCAAGAACCAAAAAAAAAAAAAAAAAAGGAAAATCCTCTATATGTTTGGAAGTTCAGAAATCACTTTTGGCCAGGCATGGTAGCTCATGCCTATAATCTCACTGCTTTGGGAGGCCAAAGTAGGAGAATCACTGGAGCCTAGGAGTTTGAGGCTACTTTGAGGCTACAGTGAGCTATGATTGCACTACGCTCCAGCCTGGGCAACAGAGCAAGACTCTATCTCAGAAAAAAAAAAGAAGAAAGATCTCAGGAGGAATTACAAAATAAATTTTAAAGTATTTTGAAGTGAACAATAGTGAAAATGTGATACCTCCAAACTTGCTTAAAGAGAAATCTGTAGCTTTAATTGCATATACTAGAGAAAAAGTCTGAAGTTACAAATGCATTCCAAGAAGTTAGAAAAACAGCACCAAATTAAATCCAAAGAAAGCCAAGTGGAGTAAATAAAGATAAGCCCAGAAAATAAAGAAATTGAAAATAAACTCACAAAAAATGATAAGAAATATGATCATCTCAAAAGTTATTTTAAAAAAGCACCTGATGAAATTCAAGATATATTCATGATAAAGCCTTATCAAAGTAAGACTAGAAGGGAACACTGTTATTATAATGAATGCTTACGTAAAATACACAACAAACATCATACTCATGAGTAAAAATGTTGAAAACTTTCCCTTGAATTAGGAATCACATAAGGATAAATTCTTATGACATTTACTCAACACTCTATTGGAGGTCTAAGTTAATGCAGTAAAGCAAGTAAAAGACCTAAAAGACACAAAGGCTGGAAAAGATGAAACAACTGTCATTATTCATAGTTATGAGTGCATATGTGATTAATCCAAAAAAACCACAGATACATACTTAAAAATCAATCATGAAGATTAACAAAGTTGTTGGATACAAGGTCAATATATAAAAATTAATTATATTTCTAGATACTGGCAGCATAAAGTTAGAAAACAGTAAAAGATGCTATTTATAGTACCATAAAAAAAAATAAATGCCCAGTAATAAATACAACAGAAGATGTTTAAGACCTCTACACAGAAAACTATGAAACGTTTCTCTGGAAAAAACTTTAAAATTCATATGAAACCAAAAAAGAGACTGAATAGCCAAAGCAATCCTAAGCAAAAAGAACACACCTGGAGGCATCATGTTTCCTAACTTAGAACTACACTACAGGGCCACAGTAACCAAAACAGCATGGTACTGGTGCAAAAAACAGACACATAGGCCAATGGAACATAATAGTGAACCCAGAATTAAGGCCACATACCTACAACTATCTGATCTTCAACAAACCTGACAAAAACAAGCAATGAGGAAAGAATTCCCTACTTTAAATGGTGCTCGGATAACCGGCAAGCCATATGAAAAAAGACTGAAACTGGACTCCTTGCTTACACAATATATAAATAATAACTCAAGACGAATTAAAGACTTAAATGTAAAACCCCAAACTATAAAAACCCCGGAAGACAACCTAAGCAACACCATCTGGACACAGGAGTAGGCAAAGGTTTCATGACAAAAATGCCAAAAGCAATTGCAACAAAAGCAAAAATTACAAATGGAAACTAATTAAAATAAGGAGCTTTGGCACAGCAAAGGAAACTATCCACAGAGTGAACAGACATGCTGCAAAGTGGGAGAAAATTTCTGCAAACTGTGTATCTGACAAAGGTCTAATAGTCAGCATCTATAAGGAACTTGAACAAATTTACAAGAAAAAAATCCCATTAAAAAGTGGGCAAAGCTCATGAACAGACACCTTTTAAAAGAAGACATATATGCGGTCAGCAAGCATACAAAAAAAAGCTCAACATCACTGATCATTAGAGAAATGTAAATCAAAACCACAGTGAGATACTACCTCACACCAGTTAGAATGGCTATTATTAAAAAGTCAAAAAATAACAGATGCTGGTGAAGTTGTGGAGAAAAAGGAACATTTATACATTTTGGTGGGAATGTAAATTAGTTCAACCATTGTGGAAGACAGTGTGGCGATTCCTCAAACACCTAAAGACAGAAATACCATTCGACCCTTTAATCCCATTACTGAGTATACACCCAAAGGAATATAAATCATTCTACCACAAAGACACATGAGCATGTATGTCCATTGCAACACTATCCACAAGAGTAAAGACATGAAATCAACCTTAATGCCTATCAATGGTGGTCTGGCTAAAGAAAATGTGGTACATGTATACCATGGAATACTATGCAGCCATAAAGAAGAACGAGATCATCTCCTTTGCAGGAACATGGATGGAGCTGGAGACCATTATCCTTAGCAAACTAATGCAGGAACAGAAAACCAAGTACGGCATGTTCTCAATTATAAGTGGGAGGTAAATGATGAGAACACATGGAGGGGACCAACACACACGGTGGCCTATTGGAGGGTGAAGGGTGGGAGGAGGGAGAGGATCAGGACAAGCAACTAATGGGTATTAGGCTTAATACCTGGGTGACAAAATAATCTGCACAACAAATGCCCATGACACAAGTTTACCTATATAACAAACCTGCACATGTACCCCTGAACTTAAAAGATAAATTTTAAAAAAAGAAAAACTTAAAACAAAAAATTAATCACAATACAAACCTCTTTTTTTTTCCCTGACAGAGTTTTCAATTAAGAAAAAAACTAGATCTGTGTCCTCAGTAATTAAAATAGGATAAGAAGTAAATTATGTATTAATAATGAGGGAAACACTTTCAATCTTCATAGATTGACTATAATCTGGAGAAAATTTTACTGTAACTTAAATGTTATTATTTCCTTCATTCTACAAGTACTTATCTGGCTTGTTTAATTTGCGTTTCCTGGATACCTGAAGATGCTGGTGTATGTATGTATATATATATATATATATATATACACACACACATTCATTGTTAGTTTCAATTTACTAATATTTTATTTTGGATTTTAGTTCCAACATGCATAAGTGAAACAGGTTTACAGTTTTCCTTTCTTGCAAGTATGCTTTTTGTGTAGCAGTTAAGAAAAGAGACACTGAAACTAGACTGCCTGGGTTCAAATCCCAGCTCAGTCACTTACTAGCTCTGTTAACCTTGACTTTGTGAAGGCACTTATCCAGAGGGTTCAGCTATCTATAGGTACTAAACAGCATTTGGTATGAGAACTGTAAAGGCAAACCAACCAATCATGGCATGAGGTGTTACTGGGCATCAGCTATAGAAAAGCAGGGGTATAATCATATTAAGATTACTGACAAGCGCAGAAGGACTAATGGGCAATGGTTACAGCCTGTAAAAGACACCAGTAAAAACAAACTGGGAAGCAGTCAAGGTGGTAAAGAAAATGAAGGGCTCAAAGGATGAGGAGGTCAAAGAACAGTTATAGTAGGAGTAAGATACTTGAGTTTAAGACATCAAAAAGTAGGGCAACTTGAATAGGACTTCTGCTTATACTCAAGAAGAAATAACATGGACCACTTTTCTGCCTGACACACATGAAAAAGCAAGCAAAAAAATCATCAATACCTTATAGTACACTAGACATCAGACAATGATAATCAGAGACAAGAAACAAATGAGGTAAGCCCTATGATTGCCCCACCTTAATGACTTAAGAGACTTTCCAGGGCCATGACACGGGGGGAGGAAATGCAAGTGGAGACCACTGGACTCTTATTAAGAGGTGGAGCTGAGAAGTAGTGGAGATTAAGTGAACTAGAATTGGCAGGACAAAGGATAGAAGACTGCACAGAGAAAGAACCCTAGGGAATGTGAGACCTGCAGAGGTTCTTCTCGAGTACAATACAGAGTACTGAATAGCTCTTTATTTATTAAAGAAATTAAGTTTGTATTTTAAAACCTTTCCACAAAGAAAACTTCAGGTCCAGTTGGCTTCACTGGTGAATTCTATCAAATATTCAAGGAAGAAATAATATCATTTTATACATACTCTTACAGAAAGTTGAAGAGTACAAAATATTTTCCAAGTAATTCTATGAGGCTGGCATTACCTGATACTAAAACCAGACAAAAATATTGGGAAGGAAAAAAAAAAAGGCACTTTAAGAGGCTGAGGTGGGAGGATTGCCTAAAGCCAGGAGTTCAAGACCAGCCTGGGTGACAAAGGGAGACCCGGCTTCTACAAAAAATAAAAAATAAAAATATTAGCCAGGTGCAGTGGCACATGCCTGTAGTCCTAGCTACTCAAGAGGGTGAGGCAGGTGGAGGGCTTCAGCCTAGGAGTTCAAGGTTGTAGTGAGCTACTAGTGTACCATTAACTCCAGCCTGGGTGACAGTGAGACCCTTGCGCAAGTTAAAAAAAAAAAAAAAAAAAGGAAGAAAAAAAAAGAAAAGCAAAAAACCTTCATAGGTTGGGCATGATAGCTCATGCCTATAATCCTAGCACTTTGGGAGGCAAGAGGATCACTTGAGCCCAGGAGTTCAAGACCAGCCTGGGAAACATAGGGAGACCCTATCTCTACAAAAAGAAAAAAAAATTAGCCAGATATGGTGGCATGTGCCTGTAGTCCCAGCTTCTCAGGAGGCTGAGGCAGAAGGATCGCTTGAGCCCAGGAGGTTGAGGCTGCAAAGAGCCGTGATTGTGCCACTGCACTCCAGCCTGGGCAATAGAGGAAGATCCCGTCCCAAAAAGAAAAAAAAAAAGCTGAACACACTAAAATTTTAAACAAACATTTATAAAATAAAATTCAACAATATAGAAAAAGGATTATACATCATGAGCAAGTGGAATTTATCCCAGAAAGGCAAGGTGGTTTTAACATTTGAAATTAATCAATGTAATTTACTCTATTAACAAACAAAAAATGAAAAAATATCTTTTAATCTCAATGGATGCAGAACAGCATTTTTAAAAATCCAGCATCCATTTTGATAAAAACTCTCAGCAAATTAAGAATAGAAAGGAACATTCTCAACATAAGAACGTCTATGAAAAACCTACAACTAGTATCATACCTAATTCTGAAAGACAAATGCCTTCCCCATAAGATCAGGAACAGGATATGGATGTGTATTCCCACCACTTCTGTTCAATACTGTACCAGAGATTCTAGCCACTGCAATAAGGTGAGAAAAAGAAATGAAAGGCATCCAAATTGAAAAGAAATAAAACTTTTTATTTTCAGATTACAAGATTATCTACATAAAACTACTGACAGACTCTACAAAACTACTAGAGCTAATGAATGAGTTTGGCAAGGCTGCAGAGCAGAATATTAAAGAACGTTATTTCTCACCACACATCTACAGCCATCTGATCTTTGACAAACCTGACACAAACAAGCAATGGGGAAAAGATTCCCTATTTAATAAATGGTGCTGGGAAAACTGGCTAGCCATATGCAGAAAACTGAAACTGGACCCTTTCCTTACACCTCATACAAAAATCAACTCAAGATGGATTAAACACTTAAATGTAAGACCTAAAACTATAAAAACCCTAGAAGAAAACCTAGGCAATACCATTCAGGACACAGGCATGGGCAAAGACTTAATGTCTAAAACACCAAAAGCAATGGCAAAAAAAGCCAAAACTGACAAATAGGGTCTAATTAAACTGAAGAGCTTCTACACAGCAAAAGAAACCATCATCAGAATGAACAGACAACCTACAGAATGGAAGAAAATTTTTGCAATTTATCCATCTGACAAAGGTCAGATCCTACCCACAATCTACAAAGAACTTAAGCAAATTTACAAGAGAAAAGCAAACGATCCCATCAAAAAGTGGGCAAAGGATATAAACAAACACTTCTCAAAAGAATATATTTATGCAGCCAACAAACACATGAAAAAATGCTCATCATCACTGGTTATTAGAGAAATGCAAATCAAAACCACAATGAGATACCATCTCACACCAGTTAGAATGGCAATCATCAAAAAGTCAGGAAACAACAGATGCTGGAGAGGATGTGGAGAAATAGGAATGCTTTTGCTTTTACACCGTTGGTGGGAGTGTAAATTAGTTCAACCATTGTGGAAGACAGTGTGGCGATTCCTCAAGGATCTAGAACCAGAAATACCATTTGACCCAGCAATCCCATTACTGGGTATATACCCAAATAATCAGAAATCATTCTACCATAAAGACACATGCACATGTATGTTTAATGCGGCACTATTCACAACAGCAAAGACTTGGAACAAACCCAAATGTCCATCAATGATAGACTGGATAAAGGAAATGTGGCACATATACACCATGGACTATTATGCAGCCATAGAAAAATATAAGTTCATGTCCTTTGCTGGGACATGGATGAAGCTGGAAACCATCATTCTCAGCAAACTATCACAAGAACAGAACACCAAACACCGCATATTCTCACTCATAAGTGGGAGCTGAACAAGGAGAACACGTGGACACAGGGAGGGGAACACCACACACCGGGGCCTGTTGGGGAGTGGGGGACTAAGGGAGGGATAGCATTAGGAGAAATACCTAATGCAGGTGACGGGTTGATGGGTGCAGCAAACCACCATGGCATGAGTATACCTATGTAACAAAACTGCACGTTCTGCACATGTACCCCAGAACTTAAAGTATAATAATAAAAAAGAAATGTTATTTCTACATACTAGCAACGAAAAATCAGAAACTGAAAGTAAAAGAATAATACCATTTACAGTAGTATCAAAAATTTCAATACATAGGCATAAATCTAACAAAAGATGTGCAAAACCTAAATATTAAAAACTACAAAGTATAGCTGAGAAAATTTAAAAAGATACATCAATGATGTACAGAAGAACCAATTTTATTTTAAAACTTACTATAAAGCTGCAATAATTAAGACAGTGGGGTACTGGTGTCCAGACAGACAAATAAATCAGTGGAAAAGAATAGAGTTCATTAATAGATCCATACATATATAAACAACTGCAAAGGAGCAAAGGTAATTCAATGGAGAAAGGGTAGTTTTTCCATTTGGGCATCCAATGCAAGAAAGTGGCCTGGATCCTTACCTCATCCCTTGTATAAAATTTAACTGTATGAACCATAGATCTAAATGTAAAACCTAAAACTATAAAACTCCTAGAAGAAAATATAGAAGAAATCTTTGCAGCCTTGGGTTAGGCAATGATTTCTTTTATGACACCAAAAACACAATTCATAAAAGAACAAATTGATGAATTAAATTTCATCAAAATTAAAAATGTTTGGCTCCAACACTATTAAGAGAATGAAAAGAAAAAATAAGTCCATCACCACTCTGCCAGTGAGTCTCACACCCCACTAATGAATGAATTCTTAGTTCCTTAGATTGATAATGCAAGTACCTCTTTGAACAGGTTCCTAAAAACTAACTGATCTTTCCCAGACAAAGGTGGAAGAACGGTGCACAGCAAATATGCTACAAGCTTACTCTACTAGTAGCCTGGTTGAGTGTGGAGCTGCCTGTCGTTATGATATGTAAAGCTGAAATAGTAATTATCAGAGGAAATGTCATGTGGGGACATGAGAGTTGAGAAGTACCAAACATGAGTTGAGAAGTACCAAAACATGAGTTGAGAAGTACCAAAACAAATGGTCTTGACCTGGGCTCCCAAATCCAAACGGAACAAAGAGACAATCAAGATCAACAGAAATCAGTGTAGAAAAAGTCAGAGGCAGGTGGAAAGAAGGCAAGTGATCTATCTTTATCTGGGCTGGTATTTAGGTGGGTCACTTAATGGAATAACCCACCACCTTCAAATGGCATGCAAAATCCGGTTAAAGAAAAAAGGAGAGCGACACAGACACTCAACTCTCATTCTTATCTCTTCATGCAAACGCTACCATTCTATGCTCCGATTTCCTGAATAAAATCAGTTATTTTAAGCCTTTGAACCATTCCTTCTTCTGCTCCTTCTGCTTGAGATTTCCTTCTTGCACTCCACTTGTCTTCCATGGAACTATTAAATACCACTCATTTTTAAAAAAATGTTACTATGCTTCAGTTGTCTTATTTGTTTTCCCCTGGTATTTGGATCTCAGTTTTATCTAAGAATTCTGGCTGGATCATTCTTATAAAATTAATAGTTTCTGACCACCTCAAGTACTATCCTGACTCTAGCCAAACTCCTCATCAACCAATTCCTGTCCCACACTACTCTTACGGTGGCCAGTTAGCTGTTCTTATGGGGTGGGGATATTCCCACTGCAAACCTAAGAAATAATGCTAATGTTATTGTGTCATTATAGTGTCATTAATTATTTTAGATAACATATACCATGCACTTAATATGTGCCAGACACTATGCTCAATGCTTTTTCATCATCTCATTTAAGTCTCACAACTTCAAGAGGATTCTTGTGTTCTTATACTCATTATATAAATGAGAAAACTGAGGTGCAGAAAAGCTAGGAAACTTGCTCGAGGTCACAGACCTGGAAAGAGGTAGGCTGTGAGCCCAGACAGACTAAATCCAGAGGCTGACTGAGTTCTTAACCACTGGTCTATAATGCTACCAAAACGGAACTTACTACCTTTTTCCTAACTTCCCCGTTGCTCAAGCAAAAACTAAGTTGCTCTCTACCTCTTTCTCTCAAATCCCCTGATCTCCAGTCTCCCTGTGCCCAACTTAGTTTACTTCTTACCTGAATGATGACAGTAGACAACTAACTGCACTCTGCTATAATGCATATTCCCCGTAAAAATCAGACCGGGCCTTCTAAACTACAATTTGATCATGCCACTCTCAACTGAATTCCTATAACCCATGCAATGGTCCATACTCCTTAGCACAGAGAAGACAGGGCCCTTCACCATCCAGCCCCTTTCTACGCCTTCAACTGCACTTGCCATTTCCCTATATAAATATTCCAATTCAATTTACATCAATATTACACTCAAACCAGCCGTATTGCAAGTCTTTAACAAAGCATATTCCTAATCCCCTCAGTGTCACAAATATTGTTCTATTTGGGATGCCTAGAGTTTTTCATATAGTAAATTCATATTTGTACTGCACGTTTCAGCCCAATAGCACCTTCCTTGAACATATTTTAATAATAATCGTGTAATAGTTAATATTTGTTTAACACAATGTATCAGATACTATTCTAAATCCTTTACATATTTTAATATTCATTTAATCTTTCCAACAACCCTATGAGACTGTGGCAAAAGAGCCAGCAGTTGCTGTCACTTCAATATATTTTGGAATACATTTCCCTCCCCAAATTAAATTCTTGGAGGTAAAAACTGTCCTGTTTATCTTTGCAGCAGCTGTTCTTCCATAGTGTCTGGTACATAATAGAAACAGGAGTTCAATAAACATCTTTTTAATAAATGGCCAGAGAGCTGTGCCCCTAGATTTTAAATGCACACTTGGAAACTCCTGCTGGCCATTAGCCTTCTAATCTTCAGAGCACGAGAGGAGCATAACAAACATGTTTAGCGTCTAGTAGAATTCTGTGTAAGCTACAAGTACTACCACACGGTTCTGCTTAAATATACACACATCCTCACGTATAACATCAAGGTTTTTTTTTTCCTGCAACTAACTTCTTTAACTCTTTACCAATTTAAATGTACCCAACCAGCATTCAAAAAAGATTTGTCGGTCAACGACGACGATATTAAACATTGTATATGAAGTCTCAAAAAAACATGGAGCTTACTTTGCTCTCTCAGAAAGTCGATTTCTGCAGCCATTTCGATACAATTTTAGTTTAGAGCTTTCACCACCTTTACCTTCCTCTGAAAGACAGAGAGCTTGCTGTGCGGGAAAACAAAACTAAGCCAACGCTCGGTTGGTTGTCAAGCGCTCCAGCGGTGCAATCTGCATCCTACTCACGCGGCATCTACAGCCCCGCCACGCTTCTTTCCCCCGCGCCCCAGACGAGTCCCTGGCCCTGGTGAGAGACTGAAGATTGCTGGGGACTCCACGTTCAACCGAATCCCACGCTGGTGGGAAGAGGACGCGGTCGATACAGGCGTCCCGCGGGTCACTCTGGGTCTCGTCGGGCCACCTAGGAGAGTGCCGCGGGAGCTTGACGGCAGCCTGAGAGCGGCGTTCTACGCGGAGCGGCGGGGGTTGGAGAGGACAACGCCAAGACGGCTGGGAAGCCCCAGGCCAGCAGCGGAAGTCCACTCGGCCCGCCCTGCGACTTTGAAACCGGTGCCCCGGACCACTCCTTGGAGACGGTGGCGCCTCTTGCGTCATCACGCGGGCGTTGGAGCTTACGCCATCGCGCGTCCTAGAGTCCTAGCACGCTATTGGCTGGCTGTCAAGCAATGGGAGGAGTCGTGAGAACCTGGATGACAGCGGGCTGAGCCACCGGCTTGGCGCGGCGGCCAAACTGGTGGGACAGTGTCTCCAGGTAGTGAGGCCCAACCTCTTTAAAACAAACAAACAAACAAACAAAAAACCAAAATGCAAACGTGAGTAGAGAATGAAATACACAGTTTAAATGCCCTCACTATCTTTGGGTTACTAATATACTAAGCCTTTCTGGACTAAGTAAAAGATGCAGGTTCCTGCGGCTAGGGATAGAAGCCAGACTGGCGTCTTCAGAATCTCCCACCAAGGCTGTACCTCTGGAGGAGTTCTAGGTTTGGATTTGGTCATCTCAAGAAGGTAAGTACCTTCTCGGTCTTTGTGGGTCTTTAGACAAAGGAGACAACTGTTGTTTAAATATTTAACTGTGTAGTAATAAAGCGTGTAGTTAGAAGTACTCAAAAGATCTTGCAAATTCAGCAGCTACTTCTTCAAAGATAAGCTTGTTTCCTCAAATATAAGGAAAGATAAAAGGTACTTTTTTTTGCAAAAAACAAAACGGTAAAACTTACATTTGTGGATAGATTACAATTTTCATTTTTGAAAATTAATTTTGTCTGGACTTAAAACGTATTTTTTTAAAAAAAATCATTTAACATTAGAGGAAATCTCACCACTAGCAACAAAAATGTTAACTTGAAGCTAGCCACTAGTTTTGTGCTTTTAATAAATTGTATTTTTATGGACTGAAGTAAAGTTTCACTAAACAGGCATGTCATAGATGCAGCTTGATTTGGCTTTCTGTTTAACGGCTTAAGAGTTTTGTTGTCCCGTACTCATAATGTCATATAAACAAAGTAACCTTAGCGATATGTGTTAAGAAATTTTAAAAATGTATTCAAATATATGCAGTTAGGCATCTGAAGGCCTTACTCAATACTCACTGTTAATAGAATGAGATGGTCCCTTCCTCTAAAGACTAGCTGTTAAATATGGATGTGTAGCTTAATAATCATTGAAAAGGTCTAATCCAGCTTTGAGTTGGTGATAATTGAACTTGTTCTGATTTTTAGTAGCTATAACGTTTACACAAAAACTTTTTGTATAAACGTTATAGCTAAGGGAAAATTGAGTGTGCAAGGTCCAACTCGTTTTTGAAGTTCAGTATATGACTCTTTCTTCATAAACATCTCACTGACTCTCCAAGGACTTGCTTGTAACTTCTCCCACATTTGAACCTTGTATATTGTCGTATTTCTACTTGGCATCAAATAAATAATTATAGACTTAACTCTACGCTTACACCCAAACTGGATGGAAGCAAATACCTTCTGGCTATAACTGATGAGTGGTATTTACATAAAGTGAATATCTCAGGTGAAAACTTTTATGTCTGCACTCGAATTTTTTAGCTTACATGATCATAATTATGATCATGATAGTTTTTTGTTTTTGCGTTTGTGTTTGTGGTTACAAGATTTTAGTAGTTGAATTTTAATGGAGTATTTTCAACATAAGTTTCATCATTAGGAAACAAAATTGTGATGATTTCACTTATCCTTAAAGGATCCCCTCTCATGTTCCTCCTTTTCACATCTCCTGAGTTCTTTATCCACTTCTCCCAAGGTAGGTGCCACCTTAGTACTTACTTCATGCTCCTTCCTGCATTATCTGTCATGTTTTGTAGTTTGTCTCCAGGCTCCATCATAATACCTGGAACACAGAGTTGATTAAATATCTGATGGAAGGAATGAAAGAATTCAGTGGATGTTCATGAAAAGTATCTATTAGTATAAATTGAATACAAGGAATGACAAGCAGAAATGTATGTAGTTTGTGTGTAACTCTTGTCAAGCCACCATTTAATGTTTTTATATGACTTTTCTGCAATAAAGAAAACCCCTAAAGTTGTATAGATTGAAAATTAGTGACATTTCACTAACATTCATTTGGTTGATCAATTGACATTGAGCACCCAGTACTATGTGCAAAGTACCAGGAAGAATACAAAGTTAGAAGTTTAAGCAAGGATCAGAACAGATCACACAGCTGGCAAGTGCCTGAGTTGAGATTTGAACCCAGGCAGTATGGTTCTAATTTCACAATTGTTAACTGCTATGAACATGCCTCCCCAGGAATATAGTATAATATAGTTTATAGCTGGTATAATATAATTTATAGTTTTTGCTTATATGGCCAGTTAGCCTTTAGTTGTATTAAATGAAATATTTCTGTACATGTTATATTGTAATCTTAATGATTTACAGTTGATTTTCAAATTATTGCACAGTATTTATATTTCTGAATCACCCTTCCTTCTTCTAGGAAACCACTCATACTTTAGTGGAACGATTAGAAGTCTTCAGTTGTTCATGTGTGGCCCTTCAACATCTTTCTTTCCTAGAAAAATCAAGCGTCTTAGCTTCAGTGTTCTAAGCCCCTCCCCCAGAACGTGTAGGCAGCTGGGTGGAGCCTAAAGCCGAGCCCTCTCCTGTGACCTCGGCTGAAAAGAAGAAGCCAGTGTTTGAGAAAAGCTTCGTGGTCTGTGTTCTCTAGTTGTTCCCTCTTCTCTCTGACATTCCTTTCGTCGTCGCCAGGTCTTGTTTTTCGCTTGATCTCTGGAAAATACTGAAAAGTATTTTACTTTTCAGCTGTCTCCTGCTAAGTGAGCGTACTCCCCCTTTCAGGCTGACTTCCTCATTTCTCCGTTTCCCTGATAAATGGGCGGGGCCTCGGGGAGGTATGGAAACTGAAAAGAAATCATTATTGTAGAAAAACTAAAGAAATTTTTGTTGAGCAGAGGAATTTGGAAATTTTCCTTGCAGATCATTTGGTTGAGAAAACACCTTTACCATAACTTATTTCTTTTAAACTTTGCGGACATTTTTTCTTTTCCTGGGTTCTTAATGCTCCAGTGTTCGGTCTCCTTTCTCTTCCTTCGTTTCCTTTTAGAGGTCTTTCCAGGTAAAGATAAAGCAATCAGAACAATTGAAAATTTATTTTTTTAACTTGTTTTAAGAGCAATTTGAAGAATAGAGGTTAAAAGTAGAAACATACAGAGTAACAATAAATATTGTATTAAGAAAGTCTAAACAGCCAAACTTAAAATTGCATTGCAGGACAGTAATCATCTTGATAATATGCATTATGACTTTTCGGAAACGTTCAGCATATATAATATAAAGGGGAGAAGAGGCAGCCACCATACTCTTTTTAAGAGAACCGGCCTTAAATTAGACTTAAAATATATATATTTTTTTGAGACGGAGTCTTGCTCTGTTGCCAGGCTGGAGTGCAGTGGAGCGATCTCTGCTCACTGCAACCTCCGCCTCCGGGTTCAAGCGATTCTTCTGCCTCAACCTCCCGAGTAGCTGGAACTACAGGCGCGTGCCACCACGCCCAGCTAATTTTTGTATTTTTAGTAGAGACGGGGTTTCACCATGTTCGCCAGGATGGTCTCGATCTCCTGACCTTGTGATCCGCCTGCCTTGGCCTCCCAAAGTGCTGGGATTACAGGTGTGAGCCACCGCGCCCGGCCAAAAAATAATTTTAAACTGTTCAGTTACCTTAAAATAGTAATGCATGTCTGTCATAGTGTAAAATGCAGATAGGTTTTTAAAAAGTGATGAAGTTGAAAGGAAGCCTTCCTCCTTCCCATATCTGCAGGCAGATAATTCCCTTCAGGGAAGCAACCACTGTTACCACTCGTTTCTTGGATGTTTCCTGAGATAGTGTATGCCTCACAAGCATATATGCAAATAAGCTTCCTTTTTATTAAATAAATGCACCTTGCTTTTTTTCACTTCACAACATATTTTAGCATAGATGTTAATTCAGAGCTGCCTCATTCATTTTAGCAGTTATACAGTGTTTCATTGTATGGTATAGCATAATTTTTTTTACCAGTCCTCTACTGATGGGTATTTAAGTTGCTTCCAACATTTTGTTATTATGAACAATGCTACCACAAATATCCTCAACGCTTATGTCATTTTGAATATGTGCAGGTATAGTAACTCCTAGAACTAGACTTATTTTTGTCAAAGGATAGTTGCATTTTTATTTTGATAGATATTGACGTATTGCTCTTCACAGAGGCTATATCAATTATGCCTCACTAGCAATAAATGATTTTTTTCTCAATGCCTTCATTAACACAGCTTGTTGTCAGACTTTCTGATCCTTGCCAATCTAAGTGAAAAATGGTAATTTATTGTGGTTTTAGTTTGCATTTCTGTCATTATAAGTGAACATTTTGCATTTTCTCTCCGTGAACTGGCTGTTCATAATTTTTGGTCACTTTTCTGTTGGAGTGTTGGTCTTTTCCTTATTGATTTCTAGGAGCTCTTTGTGCATTAAAGAAATTAGTTATTTGTATCAAGTATGAATTGCATATACTTTTCCCCAGACTTTTGATTTTGTTAATGATAGGCTTTTGGAGTAAAGGGAACTTGGGAAGGAGGTTTTTGCTTTTTTACTATTATTTATCTATTATTAAAAAAATTCAACTTTTATTTTAGATCCAGGGTATATATGTGCGGGTTTGTCACATGGTTATATTGCATGATGCTGAGATTTGAGGTACGAATGATCCTATCACCTGGGTAGTGAGCATAGTACCCAGTAGTTAGTTTTTCAACCCTTGCCCCTTTCTTCCCTCCCCCCTCTAGTAGTCCCCAGTGTCTGTTGTTGCCATCTTTATGTCCATGAGTACCTACTGTTTAATTTCCACTTATAAGTGAAAATATGTGGTATTTGGTTTTCTGTACTTTCATGAATTTGCTTAGAATAATAGCCTCCAGCTGCATCCATGTTAGTTTTGCTATATTTATGTAGTAAAATGTTTGGGTTTTGGTTTGTATTTTAAAAGGTTTTCTCTACTAATGCAGGGAAAGCCCAGATTTGGGGCTCAGCCCAGGAGAGTTCTTGGCTTCATGCAGGAAAGGATTCACAAGCTAAAGCAAGTTTATCAGAGCAACAAACTACAGGAAAATGGCTGCTCCATAGACAGAGTAGGAGCAGCAGCTCCCATGAATTGTTGGCCAGCTGTATACATACAATTCCCTGGTTATATGCTAAATAAGGGGTGGGTTATTCATGCATTTTCCAGAAAAGTAGGAAGGGTTCCCAGAACTGAGAGTTCCTCCCTTTTTTAAACCATATAAGGTAACTTCTAGGAGTTGCCATGGCATTTGTAAACTGTCATGCCACTGTTGGGAGTTTTTTTTTGCATGCTACTGCATTATAATTAATGTATAATGAGCAGTGAGGGCAACTAGAGATCACTTTTGTTGCCATCTTGGTTTTAGCTGGTTGTGGCCAGTTTCTTTGCTGCATCTTGTTTTGATAAGATTCTGTTTCAATCAGTGGGACCTTGGTGCTCAGAAAACAAGCCCAGCTCATCTCCTACCTTACTACTATAAGATTTTATTTAACTCTCTTTTTATTTCCTGTTTTTATATGATTTTGATTTTTATGTTTAAATCTTTGATTCATCTAAAACTTACTTTGGTATAAGGATCCCACTGAATTAAATTGGACTGCAAAATGAACCAACTGATGTTGGAAACGGGTACCTCATTGATTAGTTACATGAGAACCATCCCAAACTCCTGTAGACTTATTATATATTATTTCCCCAGCACCTGGTATGGTACCTGAAATAAGATGAGTGCTTAATAAATGCTTGATAAACTAAATTGAAGGGAATTTCTGGGCTTATTATCTTTGTTATTAGCCATTGTATTGATCTGATATGTAGTGTTAAATGAGATGATGATACCACGAACACAGTAGATTTCTCCTGCACAAAATCTAGAGTGTTAGATCCAGGGACTAGAAAAATTATTCACTCAACAAATAAATAGTAACCATCACTTATAGGCATTCTAGCTGGGTTCAGGGAGTCAATAAACAAATATGTAATGCCATGTAATTGCCATGTAAGAATAGAAATAGAGCAGTGTATAGGTTAATAGAGAATGACCAGGAGGGGAGCGCTAGCCCAAGAGGTGAAGGACATTGACAATTAAGTTGTCTTTACTTAATGAACACATGTTCAAATACAAAGAAATTGAAAGGTTGTGGGGGTTAAATCTCAGAAGATTACAGAGGGAGAATCATCTGTCTCTAGTTTATGTTAGTTTTAAACTAGACTGTTAACTACTGGGCAGGACGGACTATACTTTTTAGGTTAATTTTTATAAATATTATGCATTCTTAGATTGACGTCAGTGTTCTTTAAGCGATATAAAGTTTAAAAAAAAAAACAAATTTGTCATTGCAATAAGAAACGAAAGTTGTTTATGCAATTAAAGCCAAAATTATATTCTGTCTTTGGACTGATCAGCCATGCACTATTCCCTACTTGTGGAAGTCTAGTCACTATTTTTTGCAGTAATTTTCAAATAATGCTCAAAGAAACCTTAGGGGGGAAAAGCAGAAGGAACCAGTAGAAAGGTTTGAGGTACTCACTACCTAATTCTTAACAATGGTAACTTTGCTTTTATCTTTTACTTCTTATCTTCCAGATAAAATTACATTTTGAAGTAATTTGAAACCTATGCAAGCTTGTCCAACCCAAGGCCCATGGACTACATGTGGCCCAGGACAGCTTAGAATGCAGCCCAACACAAATTCGTAAACATTATGGATTGTATTTTGATTTTTTTTTTTTTGGCTCATCAGCTATTGTTAGTGTTAGTGCATTTTATGTGTGGCCCAAGACACACATTCTTCTTCTTCCAATGTGGTCCAGGGAAGCCAAAATATTGGACACACCTGCTATAAAGTCTACCACACTCTGACCATGAGACCCACCATGTGTGCATGGAAATGATAGGCCACTTTTAGTAGCATATCACTGGATATCACTGGATATCACTGGATATGGTTTTATTCCATTTAGACATAGAATTGATTGCCTGAATGTGCTGGGAATTAAGAAGTCCCTAGTGGAAACCCACTGATTAAGATAGGGATCTCTTTAATGTATGCAGAATTTTTGTGGATTTGGTGGTTGTATGAAGAATAAGTGAATCTACCAGAACTTCCTAGTAGCTAAGGTATATATTGCCAAAATTGTCAAGAATTATCAAGCTCTAAATTAGGAGAATAGCATTTTCTCTCAGCCTATTGGTGTCAGAATCAGTCATTCAGCATTTCTAACGTCTTGATTTATTCATATTTCTTCCTATATGCTGCATGAGGATACTTATTACTACCAAAATTTAGGATAGAGGATTACACATTTTTTTTGTAGAATGTGCTTTGATGTTTCAACTAAAGAAAATAAATTTATTATTGAGGTATTTTATTCCATACAATCCACTTAAATCCGAATCAATTTATATAGTCTTATCACTCATTGAGCTTCTATCAATAATGAAGAATATGAGTTGCTGAACATTTCTTCTGAAATGCTATTAGCTTTCTACAAATGGGTTATAATACCAGAATTGTTTAATTTTAGAGATTATCTAGTAAAATTTGCGAGCATATAGTGAAAATTAGTAAAAGCTATACGTTTTAGAGAAAGGTTTTTAGAGGTCTTGGATTTCTTATGTTACACAGAGCTTGTACATTTGGATCTCCCACTGCTTAGCTCGTAGGAGGTTTTCAATACGTATTCACTGAATTAAATTTATTCCAAATTTAGTAACTTCATTAATTATAGTAAAAGACTGTAAATAACTTATGAAGCAAAGGAATACATTCAAAGATTTCAGATAAAAGAAGTTACAGTTTGGAAAGGTTATCAGGTACTAAGTGAGATTATCTTTTGGATAAAACATAGGATCTAGTATAATTTGGGGGGTCCACCACTCCTAAAATAAAATTTTCACCTCTTTGCAGATTCCTGAAATGTCTTCATCTGGGAAAACATTGTTGACATTGGTTTAATTTCTAGATATGCTAGTCACGTGACCTTGGACAAATCTGTTCCATTTGTAATGAGGACAGTAATAGTTTCTCTGCAAGTTTGTACTGCAATTAAATGAGACAATGTTTAGAAAATGCCCAATCCATAGTATTCAAAAATGTGATTTTATCAATGCATTACAAGACTGTGTCCTTCTATTGAATACTTAGAATACTAATTTAAAATGCAAAAACTGCTTTTTTGTAGGTACTCAGTCTATTTCAAAGTTTAAATGATTGCAGATTCTGTTCCCATTTTTCAGTTGGAGAGAGGTAATTAACCAAGCAAGCAGTCATTTAACAGTTAAAATATTAAAACTGAAAGTGTATATGCTGGGACAAAGGAAGGCAAAATTCAACTCTACTAACTTTTAAATGATTGGAACTCCCCATCCCCAACCCCCATGAAGAAAAGGATTTTGGCCAAAAGAACAGGTGTTAACAGCACTTCTTCTACTGATTTATGGAGTTTTTTTTTAACTAAGTTGAATTTTATTATAAAGATCTTGATTCCCAGAGGATCCAGTAACTGAGACACCTGCACACTTTACAATAAATAAAAGACAAAGGATGACATAAGAACCCATGGTGCTTATAGTTACAGTTAAGTATATTAACAATTTTTGCAGTAGACTTAATTACAATTAAAAAAATGATTTTGATGCACTGTTTACAACAGCACTAGAGCCAAATCTAGACTTTTAACACTTTTATCACTTTTCATGTTGAGGTCGATAGTGTTTCTATGGCAGCAATTAAAAACAAAGTTAAATAAAAAAGTGTTAAATCTAGAAGTTTTAAAACCTCTAGGAACTAGTTACCTATTTTAGACTAGAACTCAGAGTCTGTGCTTTGGCACAACACAAGATAGCCTTTTGACTCCCAGGACTGTGCTCTTGCCACTCTGCTGCCTTTCCCGTCTGCTGTTTGGCATTGAAATTTTCATTTCATTTCCAACTAAAGAAAACATTTGTATATTGTTAAAGAGTTTGTTTTAACATATTTTCTTTTAGAGACTTCAGATGGATTTTAAAATTGAACACACTTGGGATGGTTTTCCAGTGAAGCATGAGCCCGTATTTATCAGGCTGAATCCAGGTGACAGAGGAGTGATGATGGACATTAGTGCTCCATTTTTCAGGGATCCTCCAGCCCCACTTGGAGAACCAGGAAAACCTTTCAATGAACTGTGGGATTATGAAGGTAAGTGGAAGTACTGTATTTTATTGCAAACATAAATCTTCTTATAATAACCTCTCACAGAACTATTATTTTATCTTGCTGTTGGGAAGTAAGTGCTTCTGAGCAATTGACATGTACAGTTTCTGATATTTCCTACCAATCTCTCATTCTGACTTTTTCTCCATTACCTGTGTGACTTTAACTATATAACAAAAACAGTTAAAAAATGGCAATTACAAATCCAGATTTTTTTTTTTTTTTTTTTTTGAGACAGAGCTTCACTCTGTTGCCCAGGTTGGAGTGCAGTGGTGCAATCTCGGCTCACTGCAAGGTCCACGTCCTGGGTTCATGCCATTATCCTGCCTCAGCCTCCCTAGTAGCTGGGACTACAGGCGCCTGCCACCACGCCTGGCTAATTTTTTATATTTTTAGTAGAGACAGGGTTTCACTGTGTTAGCCAGGATGGTCTCGATCTCCTGACCACGTGATCTGCCCACCTCAGCCTCCCAAAGTGCTGGGATTACAGGCGTGAGCCACCTTGCCTGGCCACAAATCCAGATTTTTTTATTGCTGCCTTATTTTCTTCCTTTATTTCTGTTACCTATGCTGAGAAGAGTTCAGGATTCCTGTTTTGTATTTAAGTATCTTTAAATTACCACTCTAACATTACAAATCTTCTTTATGGAAGATTTGGAGTGTTTTACTTATTGTAGAAACACTATCAACCTCAATACGAAATGTAGTTTTTACTTTATCCTGGCAACTCGTCTCACATATCAAATTAAGACATGACATAAAATTAGTTTCAGGTTTGCTCTATGATCTCCTTCTACTGTATCCTAATTAAGCTATCAGATTCATCTTTCTGAAATACTCTTCATGATGCCATTTCCCAGATGATAAATCATTACTATCCCTAGGATAAAGTTCAAACCCTTCCTTTAAGCTTTCAGCACACTTATGAATTGGGCCACCATATTCAACCAAAAGCTCTTAACCTATGTACCTTCTCATTCTATTCCCCCTGCCTCTAATGCATAGTTCAAGATCTAATTCATGTCCCATTTCTTCAAAGAAGATTTTGATGAATCTTCTAGTCAATATGTCTAGTTTATGCCATTTGTAAGCACACATTTTGTCAGTGTTAATTTGTCATATGTTAAATATATATTGTCTTTTATTGATACAAAACGGGTATATAGCATCTTCCTAATGGAATACACACTAATGTGACTTACCTTCTAGAGGCACTACAGACATGAAACTCAACAAATTCTAATCTCAACTCACCTACTTCTTTCATAAACCAGTTCTTTACCTAATTGTCCAATATCAATAAATGGTACTAACAATACATTAAATCACCAAATCTAAAAAATTGTGAGATCTTTCTAAGATATCCTTCTTTGACACTCTCCCTTATTTGGATTTATTTACTAAGTCCCATCAGTTTTGCTTCCTAAATATTCCTCTAACTCAGTATCTCCTCTTTTATCCCCACTATCCTTGCCAAAAGTTAGGCTTTCATCATCTTTTACCTTGGTTAGGGCAGAGCCTTCTAAATAGTCTTTTAGCCCTTAAGCCCATTCTTCATTTAGAAGCTGGACTGCTATATCTAAAATGAAAATTTAAACTCATCCTTCAGCTACCTAAAAACCTTCTCAGGATCCTTTTCCTCTCAAGGTAAGTTTTGTCCTTCTTAATATGATCTCTGTATAAGACTTTCCATGACCTGGCCCCTTATTCTCTGTAGCACCACCAGCTTCTCCTACATTGAAAGGTTTGCCTGGTAAGACTGAACTGTTCATAGTTCTTTAAATAAGCTACAATATTTCCTAATTGTGTACCCTTGATTTTACTGTTTTCTTGCCCTAGAATGCTGTTTCTATCATTCTTCACCTAGTTCCAAATCATCTTTCAAGACAGAGCTTAAATAGCAACTTCTCCTGGAATCCTTCACTAAACCACTTTTTTGAGCTAAACATCTGTTTCTATTTTTTCCTGTAGCAATGCATGCATCCTCCATTTTGGAACTTTTATTAAAATTTTCCACTTTAGTATCTGATTAGATTGTAAGCCAATAAAGGTATTTCCAGAATCTGATATAGTGTTTAATACAGAGAAGCTGCAAAAGTATTTGTAAGGTGATGATGGAAAGTAGAAAGCAGAAGATATATATGTGCATCTGAGTGTGTGTGTGTGTGTGTGTGTGTGATATATATACACACATGTATGTATAGTGAGAGAGAGAGTATGTGTGCTTATGTATGTATGTATGTACCTATCTATTTTATATATATGGAGAGAAAGAGAGAGATCTATTTTAAGAAATTAGTTCACACAATTGTGGCAGCTAGCAAGTCCACTCTTCCCTGGGTCTTCAGTCAACTGGCTGGAAAACCCACTCTTCCCTGGGTCTTCAGTCAGCCAGCTGGAGAGTCTATGTTGCAGTTCAAATCTGAAGGCTGTCTGCTGGTAGAATTCCTCTCTTGAGGGAGGTCAGTCTTTTTTTCTATGAAGACCTTAAACTGATTGGATAAGCCCCAGCCACATTATAGAGGGAAACCTGCTCTACTAAAAGTCTACTGATTTTAATGTTAATCTCATCTTTAAAAAATGGCTTCACAGAAACAACTAGAATAATATGTTACAAAATATCTGGATACCATGGCCTAGTTAAGTTGACAGATACAATTAACTATCACAGTAGACATTCTAATTTGTCTATATAAAAGATTTAAAAAGGGACAATAAGATTCTCTGAATTGCTGGCAGAATTATGTCTATATTTTAGCTATTTTATTATAAAAATAACACATGGAAAATTGGAAACAACCTAAATGTCTATCCATAAAGGATTAAGTGAGTAAGTTATAATATTCTATAAAATACTACTATTCAGTCATTAAAATAGTATGTAGAAGCATAGAAAAGGTCTGGCAGGTTTTAGACCAAAGGGGAAGAAAAGGACTTTGACTTTTTACTTCATATATATTGTTTTAATTATTTACAAGAAAGATGTATATGTTCAAAATTAAACAATTTTAAAAATAGCAATATTCAGAAATTTCCAGAAAATTATAAAAAAGAAAAGAAAGATCACCTACCTAAATTCCTGCAATCACAGATATGCAGTCATTAACATTTTTGTGCACATTTTGCAGACATCTAGACATAGACACACATGCAATTTTAATGTCATGCACATTTTGGTTGCTGTTCTGCAGCTGACTTATCGAATATCATGGATATCTTCCTATATCAACAAATATTTAATGGTATCTTTGATTTTAATAGCTGCATTGTATTCCATTGTTTATGGAATATATGAATTCCATAATTTACTTAACAGTTCTCCTGTATAATAGGAGATGTATTTAGAGAATAAGAGATAATCTTATGTAATAGGAGATAATCATTTAGATCATTTCTAATTTTTGAACAGTACTCTAATGAATGGCATTATACTTAATTCTTTTCCCAGTTGTCAGATTATTTTCTTAAGATAAATTCCTAGAAGAAGATAACTGGCTCAAAGTTTATGTGATAATGTTAATTTCTTTACAACCTGACCAGCACTAGTTTTAATTAATCTTTTCAATATGTGGCAATCTGATATGTGAGAAAATTGTTGATGATTTATTTCCTATATATTTCTTCTTCCAGGCAATGTCTATTTTCTTTGCTCTTTTTCCTATTGGGGATAGTATTATAATTAAGAATAGTTAATTCATTTTATATTCTAAAGGAATAAATTATTTATTGTTGGAAAGCAATATTAAATATCTCAATATGTTATATCTCTGTTTTCAAAAGTTGTGGAAGCATTTTTCTTGAATGATATAACTGAGCAATATTTAGAAGTTGAACTTTGTCCGTAAGTATAAAATGTTTTTTCTTACTTATTACTACATAATTTGAACGTGTTATTTTCTAGTTATAAATGATATAGTAAAAGCTCATTAATTCCAGAGTAAGAATGGTACTCTGAATTTGCTTGAATGATATGCTTTTATATATTTCTTAGTTTCAAGTACAGAGCACATATTTAGAATGTATGTTTAGAATATACTCATATTCTAAATGTTTGAAAATCCTATGTCAATATTTTCAGTTCATTAATGTAGATTTTTGTAATAAATTTCAAGATAATTTTTTTCAAAACGAAAAGTCATTATAAAACAAAAACTCTCATTATTTACGCAATAAATTTGCATTATTATAATATAGCTGTTCGGAAATAAAAGGAGAGATATGGGTATAATTAATTGAGCTAGCTTATAAAAATGTTTCTTTTAGGGGATTTTTAAATGACTAGATGAAACTTTAATTTTATGTATTACATAATTATGCATTCATGTATTCATTCTTTATTCATCATGCATTTATTAAGTATATGCTGTGTCACTTTTGCATTCAGTGCCAGGGTTTAAAAACTAAACCACATATAGATTTTCTTAGACTCATTACAAATATTAACCTTGGACTCTCTTTGTTCAGGTTTAACTGTCTCTTGGGAATCCTGTTTACCTGGTTGGCAAACTATTTCTTTTTTCCTGTAGATGTACACCTATTATCTAAATTATAGCACATTTAAAATTAATAAAGTATTTAATAATGAAATATTTCTTTATATTGCAGTTATTCATTTGAAATGCCATTTAAATGCCTCTCAGTGTCTAACATTCAGAAGCCATTGCTCCTTTTGTAGGCTGGACAGAGAGCTCCAAACAATTGATTTAAATGAGATTTGTAGATATTCTTTTATTTTCTTTTATTTTGATATTCAGCTAAATCTAATGTAGAAAAGTCTAGCTGTTTGCGTTCTGTTTTTTAAGAAGAGTAATCATATACCTTTGTGTGTTACATTTCAACTAACATGCCAAAATTTGTTATTGAAAAATATGATTAATTCTCATAAACTGCCATGAGAAGTAAGAAAATTTCAACTATTGTGTGCTTATTTTTACCCTACAGGTGAGAAAACTAAGGCAAACATTCATAATTTGTCTAGAGAACAGTAAAGAACTTGGATATCCTAAAATTTTGCCCTTAGTTTTAATTTTATTAGATGATAATATTGGTTCATTTTCATAAAGTGATGTCAACACTAGATGAATAGAATAATTAGATTCTCTCTTGTTAAGAAATTACACAGTAATCATTGTGTATAAAATTAATAGATTTTAAAGGTTAAAAAAATTCACAGAGTAGTTTGGTTTCTTATGTATCAGGATAGTTAATAATCAAGAATCATAGTTTTGCTTCAAGCAGTCATTTCCTGTAACAGTTTATTAACCTCTAGGAAAGCAACAGGAAGAATTTTTTTTATTTGCAAGAATTTTTACTCCTAGGATGTACTCCTAAGGCTGCATAATAACAATAAAAATAATCAGAAGACTTTCAAATGGAAAAGAATACTTGGCTTCTGTTAGAATAGTTTACTGAAGGAAATCCTCCCTGAAAAGCTCTCAAAAGAGTACCTGTATAGAAATGTTTTAATATATAGGTTTTTCTAGAGTTAGTGAATTTGCTTCATGTAAATACATGAAATCCTTTGGTTCTTAATGACCTGGCTAGTCCCAATTGTACACTGTTATTAGAATTTCCCTTGGAAAATATACTGTGTTCCTTTTTGAAAACATGATGCTGAATGAATGGTAGAAAGCAGGAAAACACAAGAGGCAGACATGTTGAGGACCGTGTGTGAAAAAAATAGACAAAGATTAAAATCTTTAGCCTGTTGACTAGTTGTAGACTGTCTATGTTTTGCATTTTTTATTTTCCTAATGAGCTACCAGATAGTTTTCTTACAGAAATAACCTTTATTAAAGTGGTTGAATTCAGACTTGGAAATTGTTGCTTGCTTTAGTTTTTGAAACTCGTTTTATAAAAAACTCCAAATAACATGGTATCTCTCTGACCTTTTTTCATACTTTGTATCATCTAACCAAATGAAGTATTTTATATAATTGTTTCTTTAAAGAATATAAAAAGCAATCTAAACATGAAACTTTATGCATTTGGTGGCAGTTGTCTGGAGAGTGGTAAACCCAAAGATGTCATTTCTAAGCAACTGAACACACTGGCTCTCCCTATAATTATCCAATATTAATATTGCATCTTTTTTTTTTTGAGACAGAGTCTCGCTTTGTTGCCACGCTGGAGTACAGTGGCGCTATCTTGGCTCACTGCAACCTCCACCTCCCGGGTTCAAGCGATTCCCCTGCCTCAGCCTCCCAAGTTGCTGGGACTACAGGCACACGCCACCATGCCTGGCTAATTTTTTCTTTGTATTTTAGTAGAGACGGAGTTTCACCATGTTGGCCAGGATGGTCTTGATCTCCTGACCTCGTGATCCACCCGCCTTGGCCTCCCAAAGTGCTGGGTTACAGGCGTAAGCCACCATGCTCAGCCTGCATCTTTTAATTATTTGGAAAATTAGTTGCAAGCACACACATTCCATGTATAAAGGATAGTGAAGAAAATAACATTCATGTTTTTCAAACACTCATGAGGAATCTTAATTTTGACAGCCACGGACAGCATTTAGTGCTTTTACTTTCTGGAAGAAGAAATGTGTGGAAAGTAAGTAAATAAAAATAGGAGGCAAAATCATTACGTACACAGTAATACACATATTTCTATGTTTAAAGTGTAAGCCCAATTTTATCTTTTGTGTTTCACATGTTGTTTCTGTAGCAAGAACTTCCTTTATCGTTCAGAATGTCCAGAGGAGAGACAAAATGGGAAGGCAAAGCTTATCTCCCTTGGAGTTATTTTCCACCAAATGTGACAAAATTCAATTCATTTGCAATTCATGGATCAAAAGATAAACGAAGTTATGAAGCTCTTTACCCTGTACCTCAGCATGAACTGCAGCAAGGACAAAAACCTGATTTGTAAGTAGAAAATAAATGAAGATATGTTCCAAATACACGAGTTTTTTCGAAATTAATTCTTAGTGGAGCAGAAGTAACACTTTTGATCAAAGAAGACGACATATGTGCACAAGTATCTAGTAGAGTCCAATGTTCACTGATGGTCCTCAGAAAATACTTGGAAAACTTTGGACTGTCATAATCTCTCTCACTACTGTCAGTAGAGCACTTATTTTTCCATAGTGGTATGAGAAAAGTGTTGTTTGCATGTGAGAAAAGTAAATGTTGTAATAGCTGATATAGAAGTATGGTCACAAATTCATTTAAAATTTCTTTCAGAGCTAAAGGGCCAGAGGCATCAGTGTTTCCTGGTGTGAACAAACAGTCCCCTGTTACAAGGAAATCTAATCTTCAGTTATCTCTCTAGTTCTCCTCTTCTGGTAACCTCATAAGGATAAAAATATCAACTATGTTTCTAGGCAACACTGCTTACGATAAAAATGACCCTTAAGTGGCAAATTACATCTGGACTGAGAATAATTTTGGATGAACTATAAATATATGATGGAGACAGCATGGCTTTGGGATTCCCCTGTAACAGTCATGTTCCCTGTGGGAACCCTGGAAGCTATGGCTATGGAGTTATTCCAAGAGATATTGCTCTCATGGGGCAGCAGGCATTTGAGCCAAGTTATCTGCTATGCTTTCTCAATTTGAGTCTTGTTTCCTTGCACCTGTAGCTCTCACATAGGCAGACTAGAGCTCCTGGCCAGCCTTATGAATGCTTCATGGACTTCTGCAAGGACTACTCCTTTAGGGAGGAAAGCCAGATGCTGTCCTGGGGCAAGCTGTGATTGCTGCTCTATATCTCTCTAGGTATACTCACTATGGCCAAGGTAGTCTCGTGAGTCTGGGCATTTGGAAGAACCTAACAGAAACATCCTAGTGAGCATTGCACTATGGTAGATGGACATTCCTGCCTTTTAACCTGTGGAATGTGCTGCATCGTCCTTCCTCTCCCTGTTTGCCTTCTCCTTCCTGCCATGCTCTTACTTTATGCTTCTTTGTCTTTATCACTTCTAGCATATTTCTTTATTTTGCTTGATATTTTTTCCCCTTTTCCCTTTGCCTTTCTCCCCAATCCTGACATAGCTTTTACCTAGTCTTTTTTCCCCTTCCTTTTTCTTATCCTTCACTGTTTTTTCCTTAATCTCTTACTCTGGGATTGACAATTGTGATTCAAAAACTGACTTATCCTGGCCAGGTGGGCAGAATGAGACAAACATGTAGTTGCAACTGACTCAAGGTCCTCATATCAAGACGTCATGTCTCTCTGGCTCTTCATCAGCTAATACCTTCCTATATTCAGGCTCTTCATTCATACATTATTTGGAAGCTTATCTTAGGTGGAAGTACGATTATACATTGGCCAGGACAGAGCCAAGGCAGAGTGACTTCCTACAGAGTGGGGCTCCACTGCAGCATGTTAGCTAAGCCTTTCTCTCCTCATTAAGCCACAAGAGAAAGCTTCTTAATGTAGTTAAGTGGTTTTCCTCGAAAGAAAAGAACTGGGATTAATACTCTTTTACATTAACCTCTCTTGCTTCAGCAGAGAAGGGAATTAAGAAGTCTATCTTATCAATGGAACTGAAACTTTTCAAAACAATTGCTTATATGACTGATATAAATTATATCAAAGTTTGAATATAAAAACATATGCAAGAGCATAATATGATTTGTTTAAAGCTGGATGGAATGAGTTATGTTTTGAGAACTGATTTCTCCCTTCAGCTGTGAGGGAGTTATTTGCAGAATTGAAAGAAGAGTGCTTTGAGATGCAGGTGAATGTTTTCAGAGCTGAGTGTTTGACAGCTAGAGTGAGAAAACTGTACATATAAAATATATCTTACCTTTAGTATTGCTTAAAATAGAATGTTGTATTACAGTTGTGACAAAATAAATAGCCCTTCAGGACAACTATTTCACAAATGCATAATTCATTTCAATTCCCACCTTCTTTTTCTTTGCTTTTAGCCATTGCCTAGAATACTTCAAGTCTTTCAATTTTAACACACTGCTTGGAGAAGAGTGGAAACAACCGGAATCAGACCTGTGGCTAATAGAGAAATGTGATATATAGGAGTAATAGATAACCATACCGATCATTTTTTCCTCTATACCTTTTAAGATAAACAAAAAATAAATATCAATTTTTTAAGATGTCATGCATACATTTCAACAACAAATATCTTCATAGAAGTCACTGAAAATATAGTATCTGTGGCAAATTGTATATGATTAACAAGAAAATATATGATTCTTTGTAGATGATTTCATCTGTAAAGTCACAATGTTTCTCAGAGTCACTTAGTCCAGGATGTTGCATTCCCAGCACACAGTACAGTTATTCTTGAAAACTACAAGTGAAAAAGGGGGAACAATTGAGGTTGTCCAAGGCCACCTAGAGGACTGTCTTGCACTACCTTGTGATTCAACCATTTCATTCCTAGATATATACCCCAGAAAAATGACTGCTCATAGCAGCTTTATTCATAATAGCACAAAATTGTAAACAGTGAAATTTCCATCCATAGGAAAATGGATAGACAAACTACAATATAGTCAGTGGAATACTGTTCATTTAAAAAAGGACTGCTGATACATGCAACAACCTGTATGAATCTCAAAAACATTAAGTTGAGCAAAACAAACCAAACATAACATACTATCTAATTACTTTTATATTAAAGCCACTTCCAGGCAAAACTAATATTTGATGATAGATACCAGAACAGTGGCTGCTTAGAGTGAGGGCAGGGAATTCAAATTGAATGGAAAAGGGGCCTGAGGAAATTTTCCGGGGTGATTGAAATGTTTTGTATTTTGATCTGGATGATGGTTATGTAGCTGCATATATTTGTCAACATTCCTCATGCTGTATGTTTAGATTTGTGATTTTACTATATGTAAATTAATTCCTTAATAAAATACTATTATAAAATAAGCTGTAAATTAAATGGAATTAACTTCAAGTTTACATTGAGTTTATATGTTTCCATTGAACAATCACTAGTGATGGTTAAATGTGGCTTATCGACTTACTCATTTCTTATATATGTTCTCTATCTAAAAAGAGAGCTGGTGTAAGATAAATGCTAACTTTTACAAAAGGTATTATTAAGTATCCTGACTACACATCATGGTGGCAGTGTTAGGCATCTTAGATAAATTGAGAAATTATTCTTAAAACTGACAATAGCAACTAATTAATTTGATATAGAAACGATCTGCCTGTTTTAGATACGAATGGCATATTTTAAATAACCTAGGACGATTTATTTATAAATTACCTGAATAATTTTATAAATGCATATAAAACTATCAAAATAAAAACAAGATATATTTTAGAGCATCTTGATTTTAGAAGCGAATCGAACACTGTGAATCACAGTTTCAGATATAAATCATAACTATTTATAATATGGATAAAAATGAAGCACAAATATGATAGATACAATCACAACAATATAAAATACTGAATTTGAATGTTGTAGCTTGTGAGCTTTCTCAAATCTAATGTGTATCTTTTTAAAATTTGTTTAGATGTTTTTTAAACATCTCTTAACTTTCTTTCATCTAGATAAGGCATTTCCTTTTCTTCCAATACCAAGCAAGCAAAAATACATTATATAAACATTTTCTTTTGAAAGGAACATGCATATCAACTACAGAATTTCGGAAAGCTTGTCCATTAGTCAGGTACAAATGATATATTCTAGAAACTTGTATCCAAGAAACTTTTATTTGAGAGTGGGTGTTTGTAATAGCCATTTCAAATTTGTTTTTCAACTTCAGGACCATGAAAGAATAATCATCCTTTTGTTTAAAATATGCATAAATGCATTTCTTTGCTGTGATTTGAATTGTTCACTGCAGTGTCAAGCAGATTCTCTCTTCTCACCACCTAAATAGATTACACAATGTGCATATTTATTCAGGTGCATTCTCATGCTTTTTCCCAGCTCCAGGAAAGTGTAAGTCACAGTCTGAAGGGAAATGTGCTTTTTATTTTTGGCTCCAAACTACTTTTTTTAAACGTTAAAAAGGTTTTTTGCCACAGGAAAAAAAACATTTAATTTCCCCTCCTTCTCCTCCTTTTGCTCCTTTTTTAAATGTTAGGCTTTTGGAGGACAGAAGATAATGAGCATAATTAATCTGATATTGAAAAAGAAAGGGTAGCAAGTGGATAAAGCAATTACAGTAAGCCCTCAGCCCTTTTCTCATGCCTCAAAGCTTAAGGATTGTCTCTTCTTTTCCATGTAAATTTCCATAATATTTTACACATTGCTTTATTACAGCATTTATTTCACTGGTCCTAGATAGCTCTTCTGACCCACCTCCTATCCTCTCAGCCTAACTTTTTACTCCAGCCATCAGTTGCATACAGTGAACTGACTGGCCAGTTGCCTCAGCTGTACTGTGTATGTCTTACTTCCTGCCCCTAGGGCTTCTCTGCTTCCTCTGCTGTGTGGAACACTTGCAGGAACCCATTTAGCCATTCTCTCACATGAACTACCCGGGATGTGTGAAGGGACTAAAACACCCCATGGGGCACCTCTTGACCAAAGAGGGTGGGAGTTGATGGATAACTACTTCTCTGTTACATCCCTCAGTTTAACAATTTATGGTCCCTTCCACACAGCTCCTCAGAAGTTCTCTTAAAAGGATTCCACCCTGATTACCCACAGCAGTGGCCAACTAGTAACACATTTTTGCATTATCTTTCCTTCATTTCCATCATTTTCTGTTTTGCTCTTCCTGGTACCTCTCTCCTCTCTGGAATTGCTTAACTACAGTCAACCTCTTTGGAAGTTATTGTCCTATGTTTGCTTCATGGGGAACCCAGGCTAAGTCAGTGATTACCTAAAGCAGCCCTAGAAAGCCGTTCGTCAGGATGAGAATCTAGAATTGTATCACAGGGCATTTGGTGACAAGGACCCCATTGTTGGTGGTAATGGCTCTGCTATAAGTAACTTCACAGTTATTAAAACAGTGGTAGACTGGCTTGAGGTGCAGCTGAGGCACCTGAAGCTATGAAAGCCATCTAGTCATAATGACTCTTCGTGTCAACTGTTCAGCAGGCAAATAGAAGCGGGCTACCATGCAGAGCTAGAGTTATAACTATTAATGGAAGCAGTATAGAGTATGTCCTTCCTAGGGGATTCATTGAGTCATCCTTTGGTGTTTCAATGTCAAGTGGTAATCTTAAATGGGCAACTGTAGCAACCACAGCCTGACAAGGTAAAGCAACTAAGGACTCTGACCCTTTGAGGATAAAGGTCTAGGTCACCTCACCATTCAAACCACTTGAAACTACTGAAGAGTTTGGCCAAATGTGAGAGAAATACAGAATTTGTGATGGAAGAGAGAGATGATAACTATCAATTATAGACTTGAAATCAGTTACAGGAGCCACATAACTTGTTCCACTAAATCTTTTGCATTTAGTATTTGTATAATGGCTGCCCACTTCCTTGAAGACTCTGTGACAGATTGGACTCAATGTGGAATGTGTGTGGCTCTGAGTGCTGCAAGGAGTGGACTGTATTTAATATCTCTTGTGTCCTACCTCACATCCTCTTAGGCCATTTTTCAATTCACCCATTTTACTCTTTGATAGCACTTTACCTCTTTTGTCCCATGTATCTCTAGATTTCTGTATTAGTGCTTTTCTGACACCTCAGTTATGTGGAACACCTGTGGGAATCTGCTAATCTACTCTGACGTATATGCAAACCTGGAAGTTTGAGGGAATTGACAATAGGGACAGGATTCAGTGGATAAATACTCCCCTTTTCCGTCCCTTGGGCAGACAATTCTGAAGTGCATTCTGTATAGTTCCTTAGTGGTCTCCAGTAGGACTCCACTAGGGTCTTCAGTTACCTACAGTACTGATCAGCTTAAAAATGCAATCTTAGATTGGCTTGCTTTATTTAATTTTTCCAAAGTTCCCAATCCCATTCCTTAGAATCACATTCCAAAATTAATGCACTGCACACAACCCTCTGCTTTTGTCAGGGGTAGAAGGGGTATCCAGCCTAAGGCACCTAAGTCCAAGAGGAATATGTGCCTAACAAATCTTCTAACTAAATATATATATATATATATATATATATATAAAATATATATGTTTATATATAACATATATATATAGAGAGAGAGCATAAAATGTGCTGTGTATGTGTGTAGCATATTTTTTGTTAAATCACCATTCCTGGGCCCTACTCATTTTCTGATAATTTCTTATCTTAATTTGCTCTGAAAGAGCAAAACTTATAAAATTGACTATTGTAACTCTATTTTTTACCAACTATCATTTTTCATGGAAGGAATAGTAAAAAGAGTTACCTCTGAAGCTAAGATGACACATGTATGAGGAATATAGGAAGCCAGAAATCATGAATCTATGAAAAGTGAGGGGTGTCTGTGCATATTTTATTTTATTTCATAATAAATAACCAGTAATTAAAATATTCTTTTCCATGTAATGGGATCTACGAGTAAATTTTTGTCTGATATTTATAAATCTAATATGTAATATAAAGGAGAAATAGGAAATGCTGTCAAATGACATTTCACTTTACTACTTATTTGAATTACAATGAAATAATATATAGCTACATCACTGGCTCCTGAGAGAGCTTTGGGTGTTCTGTAAATTTTTTACTTTGCACTCTTGAAAAATTCGCAGAGAATGCAAGGTTTAGTAAAAATTTATTTTCTTTTGGCAGCCTATCACCTGTAATTTCCGTTAAACAGCATTTCTGACTCAATAGTACACTGAAAGCCCATGTTTGTAATAATGCCCTAAAGCACTGCAGTACCTAGAGTATATATTTTGAAGAGATAGCTTTGCTGAAATAGAAAACCAAACTGTAAATTGAAGTCTGAGCATTCAGAGAAATAAAAATTATGCTAAAAACAAACGTATGTTTTTGAATTAGTTTTTTGAAAAATGGCAAAAAGATAATATTAGTTAGTGATATTATTAATATCATTAATATCACTAAATATCATTAGTATGCTTTGGCATACACAGCAGAAACACCAAATGTCTTATACTCCCACAATAGACTGGGCTTTCCTTTTAGCTGCCTGACCTAGTGCAAGTGGCCTCATTGAAATATCTAATACTTATTGAATACTTATTATTTTTTCAGAAACTATATTAAGAACTTTACCCTTACTTTTTACAGCAATCTCAAAGAAAGTCAGATACTCTTGGAATGCTTATTTTTAAAGTTAATGAAACTAAGACCTACAGAGTTAAGTATCTTGCCCAAGATCATACAGTTAAGAAGTAGCAGATTTGAACCCAGGGAATTTGATTCTCAAGAGAAGGCACTTATTTACTATGCTGCTGCCTTTCTTAGTCTTCATTACTCATCTACAAAATAAAGCTATTGAGAGTGATGTCAGCAAGATGGCTGACTAGAAACACCTGGCATTCATTCCCACCACAATAGAGGACCAAGGCAATGAATAAACAGCTAAGATTTTGACTACGGTGTTGAAGGGAGAGTGCTGGAGTGTGATGGAGGAGTAGTGATTGGAAGTCTACGAGGGTAAGGTGGAGGTACCTGTTGTCTGCAGCTTCATCTTCTCTGCCTGGATCAGATATACCTGGAGTCAGGAGAGACTTCACATGTGGGAAAAGGATAAGCAGGAGATCCCCACTGTCCCCCAGCCCCATAGCCACCGCAAACACCTATAGTCCTTAAACAGAAGAATCCCATAGTTCCTGTAAGCCCCGAGTCCATCTTGGAGAGCTGCAGGGAATTTATGCAGCTGTGTTGCACTGGATTAGTAGTACAAGGTGTATACTCCCCACCCCTACTCACCCACTGTGAGCCAAGCTGCTGCAGCATGGTGCCATCTTGAGACCTGAGCCATCTCTGGAGTGTGTCTTGCTCTGAGGTCAGTAGCCACTGTGCTTTTCCAGCACTGGGGCTCCATCTTCATTATGCCAAACCCACATGGATGATTGAACCTCACAACCCAGCTGTGGGGAGTCTGGGCTCAGGATTGGCTATGACTCTGGTCTTGTATGGCAGAGAAACCAACCCCCACCCCTGCTTAAGGCAGGAGGAACCGTATACCAGTCCTTCCCAGGACGAACCTGCCCTCGAGCCAGCCAAACTGCTGCATGCCTTCTTCCAAGTGGGAGAGGTCTCTGAACATCCGAGCAGCTGATACACCCAGTGGAGTCGGCTATGTGCCCACACTCAGAACCTGAGAAACAGCCCTGCACCCTCACATCCTCCCCTAACCCCACCACAAACACACCCCTGGGCCTTCCCACTGGCCCTGTGCTCCCAATAAGGACCTGAAAAATAGGTGGACACATCCCTAGGCTAGCCAAGCAGCCAAGAGCCTATGTCCCAGACCTGAGAAACAGCCCCATGGGCTGTCCCCAGTGGACATGCCCCTGAGCCAACGAAGCAGCCACTTGTCTGTGCTTCTGGCCAGTGTAACAGCCCTGTGGGTTCAACCATGGCAAGACAGACCCCAAGGTGGCTGACCTACTGTATGCATGCATGTACCCCTGACCAGAGAAATAGGGTGGTGAGCCCAATCCCAGCAAAGGCACACCGCTGTCACCACAAATTCTCTCAGCTTAGGCCACTGAAAAACTCACAAACACCACTAGTGTGGATTTCAGTTAAAGAAACTACCTGGAGGCTACACTACTGCATCCACCTGAAATGAAGACCAACACACCCCACCCAACTGACACTCTAAGACCCATTAATACAAATTGCTCTTTTTCTATGAAACCTACCCCATAAAATTGAAGAAGTGACTTTTCTACCAGATGTGTAGAAATCAACATAGGGACATATCAACTATGAAAAAGCAAGGAAATATGTCACCTCCAAAGGAAAACAATAGTTCTCCAGGAAGACTCCAATCGTAAGAAAATATATGAAATGCCACAAAAAGAATTCAAAATAATAATCTTAAGTAAACTCAGTAAGATACAAGAGAATACAGAAAGATAATTCAATAAAATCAGGAAAACAATTTATGATTTGAATTAGAAATTCAACAAAGAGATATCATTAAAAACCATACAGAAATCCTAGAGCTGAATAATTCAAAGAATGCAATAAAAAAGAAATACAATCAAGAGCTTCACCAGCAGACTAGAACAAGCAGAAGAAATAATTTCTGAACTTGACGACAGATCTTTTGAAATAACACAGGCACATCCAAAAAAAAAAAAAAAGAAAAAGAAAGAAAAAAGAACAAAAGAAAGAAAAATATATTTGAAAGGATGAAGAAAGCCTACAGAATGTATAGAATACCCCATTAGGTGAACAAATATTCATATTATAGGCACTCAAGAAGAAGGGTATGAAAATGGTGAGAAAAATATATTTAATAAAATAATACAAGATAAAACCATTAAACCAAGATCTCTTCCTCCCCTATTCTACAAATAAAAACAGCGTAGAAGAGAAAAGAGGTTCATAAGCCCTTCACTTTTATGTGGTAGTACATAATACGGAAGATGAGTATTCAAGCCACTCCTTATTAATAAGCCACTCACTAAGGGAACCACTTTTTTCCCCCTAATCTCTTCTAGAGTATTATTTGTTGCAGCAGTGTAACACATGAAAATCATTATTGTAGTGTGGACTAGTGGCTAATCTGAATGCAACTCTCTTAACATTTATTATCGTTAGGGAATGTATCATATTGTTCTGGAATATTAGAAAGAAAGAAATCCCAGGCCTCATCTGTACTAAATGCTTTTACTAGCTTGTTTTTATCAAAGATCAAAAGACAAGCTTCAGAAGACATGGAACCTTTGACAAGCAAAACTTCATACCCTTAAATAACTTGCAATAACTATAATAACCTTTTATCTTTATATATGAGAAATACGATTGATTTAGTAAAAATTTATTCTGAATGGTCATCTCATAGTCCACTTGTGCAGAAAATCTAAAGATTGTAAATGAATCTGTTTTCCTTTCATTATATTATACTCTTTGCAACAGTGACAAGTCACCCTTTTTTTTCTTGAAAGGATTATCTTCTTTCAAAAACAATAGAGTAATTTATCAGTGACTTTTCAAAATCCAGGTTACAAACCTATTAGTGAGTGGATTATAGAATCTTTTAGTAGATTGTATATAACAGAGAAGTATATAGAAAATATCAGAATGCATCACATGTATTAAGTGTATATATTGTTTTAATTATTTTTTTAATCTAATCACAAAAGTTCAAAATCCATTAATTTATGCTGTTTATAGAAAACAAGATTTAAACGCTTGAGTGTTCACAGTATTATCTTTTGGGAAACTTGTTTATATCCAAAAGAATCTCAATAATTAGTGACTAGAGAAGATTTGGAGGTGTAGCTCACACCCAAATGTGTCTCTGATGTATCTTAAAAACTAAGGAGAGTAACAATCTTCAATTTAGTTTGATTTATAAATTGAGAATAAAACAAATAATATAGATAGGTAGGTAGATACATTGAGATAGATAGACAGATAGAGATAGATGACTTACATATAGAGATACTAAAATTTTAAAATTTTTCATTGGAAGTGACCCCTTTTCACAGTATGTAACTCTGTTCCTAATCTGTAAGTTAGGATGCTTTGGGTTACAAGTATGATGACATGTGACAGTGTTTGATCTAGAGAATGACAGTCTCATTGTGTCTCTGGCTCTATCTATATGTGATTTTCTTGCTTTGCTGTTTTCTTTTATTTATTTATTTATTTTAAATTTTACTTTAAGTTCTGGGACACAAGTGCTAAAAGTGCAGGTTTGTTACATAGGTATACACATGCCATGGTGGCTTGCTGCACCCATCAACCTGTCATCTAGGTTTTAAGATCTGCATGCGTTAGGTGTTTGTCCTAAAGCTCTCCCTCCCCTTTCCCCTCACCCCCCAACATGCCTCGGTATGCGATGTTCCCCTCCCTGTGTCCATGTGTTCTCATTGTTCAGCTCCCACTTATGAGTGAGAACATGCGGTGTTTGGTTTTCTGTTCTTGTGATGGTTTGCTGAGGATGATGGTTTCCAGCTTCATGTATGTCCCTGCAAAGGACACAAGCTCATTCTTTTTTATGGCTGCATGGTATTCCGTGGTGCATATGTGCTACATTTTCTTTATCCAGTCTATCATTGATGGGCATTTGGGTTGGTTCCAAGTCTTTGTTATCATATATAGTGCTGCAATAAACATACATGTGTATGTGTCTTTATAGTAGAATGATTTATAATTATTTGGGTGTATACCCAGTAACGGAATTGCTGGGTCAAATGATATTTCTAGTTCTAGATCCTTGAGGAATTGCCACACTGTCTTCCATAATGGTTGAACTAATTTACACTCCCAAAAACAATGTAAAAGTGTTCCTAGCAAGCCAAGATTGCGCCACTACACTCCAGCCTGGGCGACAGAGCGAGACTCCGTCTTAAAAAAAAAAAAAGTGTTCCTATTTCTCCACATCCTCTCCAGCATCTGTTGTTTCCTGACTTTTTAGTGATCGCCATTCTAACTGGCATGAGATGGTATTTCACTGTGGTTTTGATTTGCATTTCTCTAATGACCAGTGATGATGAGCTTTTTTCATATGTTGTTGGCTGCATAAATGTCTTCTTTTGAAAAGTGTCTGTTTACATCCTTTGCCCACTGTTTGATAGGGCTTTGTTTTTCTCTTGTAAATTTGTTTAAGTTTCTTGTCAATTCCGGATATTAGCCCTTTGTCAGGTGGATAGATTGCAAAAATTCTCCCATGCTGTAGGTTGCCTGTTCACTCTGATGATAGTTTATTTTTCTGTGCAGAAGCTCATTAGTTTAATTAGACCCCATTTGTCAATTTTGGCATTTGCTGCCATTACTTTTGGTGTTTAGTCATGAAGTCTTTGTCCATGCCTATGTCCTGAATGGTATTGCCTAGGTTTTCTTCTAGGGTTTTTATGGTTTTAGGTTTTATGTTTAAGTCTTTAATCCATCTTGAGTTAATTTTTGTATAAGATGTAAGGAAGGGGGTCCAGTTTCAGGTTACTGCATATGGCTAGCCAGTTTTCCCAACACTATTTATTAAATAGGGAATCCTTTCCCCATTGCTTGTTTTTGTCAGGTTTGTCAAAGATCAGATGGTTGTAGATGTGTGGTGTTACTTCTGAGGCCTCTGTTCTGTTCCATTGGTCTACAGATCTGTTTTAGTACCAGTACCATGCTGTTTCAGTTACTGTGGCCTTGTAGTACAGTTTGAAGTCAGGTAGCATGATGCCTCCAGCTTTGTTCTTTTTGCTTAGGATTTTCTTGGCTATGCGGGCTCTTTTTTGGTTCCATATGAAATTTAAAGTATTTTTTTCTAATTCTGTGAAGAAAGTCAATGGTAGCTTGATGGGGATAGCATTGACTCTATAAATTACTTTGGGCAGTATGGCCATTTTCACGATATTGATTCTTCCTGTCCACGAGAATGAAATGTTTTTCTATTTGTTTGTGCCCTCTCTCACTTCCTTGAGCAGTGGTTTGTAGTTCTCCCTGAAGAGGCCCTTCACATTGGTTGTAAGTTGTATTCCTAGGCATTTTATTCTCTTTGTAGCAATTGTGAATGGGAGTTTACTCATGATTTGGCTCTCTGTTTTTCTATTATTGCTGAATAGGGATGCTTGTGATTTTTGCACATTAATTTTGTATCCTGAGACTTTGCTGAAGTTGCTCATCAGCTTGAGGAGATTTTGGGCTGAGACGATGGGGTTTTCTAAATATACAATCATGTCATCTGCAAACAGGGACAATTTGATTTCCTCTCTTCCTATTTGAATACGCTTTCTTTCTCTTGCCTGACTGCCCTGGCCAGAACTTCCAGTACTATGTTGAATAGGAGACGTGAAAGAGGGCATCCTTGTCTTGTGCTGGTTTTCAAAGGGAATGCTTCCAGCTTTTGCCCATTCAATATGATATTAGATGTGGGTTTGTCATAAATAGCTCTTATAATTTTGAGATATGTTCCATCAATACCTAGTTTACTGAGAGTTTTTAGCATGAAGGTTTTTGAATTTTATCAAAGGCCTTTTCTGCATCTATTGAGATAATCATGTGGTTTTTGTCATTGGTTCTGTTTATGTAATGGATTACGTTTATTGATTTGCACATGTTGAACCAGCCTCGCATCCCAGGGATGAAGCCGACTTGACCATGGTAGATAAGCTTTTTGATGGCTGCTGGATTCAGTTTGCCAGTATTTTATTGAGGATTTTCTCACTGATGTTCATCAAGGACATTGGCCTGAAATTTTCTTTTTTTTGTTGTGTCTCTGTCACGTTTTGGTATCAGGATGATGCCGGCCTCATAAAATGAGTTAGGGAGGACTCCCTCTTTTTCTATTGTTTGGAATAGTTTCAGAAGGAATGGTACCAGCTCCTCTTTGTACCTCTGGTAGAATTTAGCTGTGAATTCGTCTGGTCTTGGACTTTTTTTGGTTTGTAGGCTGTTAATTACTGCCTCAATTTAGAACCTGTTATTGATCTATTCAGGGATTCGACTTCTTCCTGGTTTATTCTTGGGAGGGTATATGTGTCCAGGAATTTATTCATTTCTTCTAGATTTTCTAGTTTATTTGCTTAGAGGTGTTTATAGTATTCTCTGATGTTAGTTTGTATTTCTGTGGGATCAGTGGTGATATCCCCTTTATCATTTTTTATTGTGTCTATTTGATTCTTCTCTCTTTTCTTTATTAGTCTGGCTAGCTGTCTATCTATTTTGTTTATCTTTTCAAAACACCCAACTCCTGGATTCATTGATTTTTTGAAGGGCTTTTCATGTCTCTATCTCCTTCACTTCTGCTCTGATCTTAGTTATTTCTTGTCTTCTGCTAGCCTTTGAATTTGTTTGCTCTAGCTTCTCTAGTTCTTTTAATTGTGATGTTAAAGTGTCGATTTTAGATCTTTCCCACTTTCTCTTGTGGGCATTTAGTGCTATAAATTTCCCTCTAAACACTGCTTTAGTTGTGTCCCAGAGATTCTGGTACATTGTGTCTTCATTCTCATTGGTTTCAAAGAACTTATTCTGCCTTCATTTCTTTATTTACCCAGTAGTCATTCAGGAGCAGGTTGTTCAGTTTCCATGTAATTGTGTGGTTTTGAGTGAGTTTCTTAATCCTGAGTTCTAATTAGATTGCATTGTGGTCTGAGAGACTGTTTGTTATGATTTCTGTTCTTTTGCATTTGCTGAGGAGTGTTTTACTTCCAATTATGTGGTCTATTTTAGAATAAGTGCAAGGTGGTGCTGAGAAGAATGTATATTCTGTTGATTTGGGATGGAGAGTTCTGTAGACGTCTATTAAGTCTCCTTGGTCCAGAACTGAGTTCAAATCCTGATTTTCCTTGTTAATTTTCTGTCTTGTTGATCTGTCTAATTGATAGTGGGGTGTTAAAGTCTCCCACTATTACTGTGTGAGAGTGTAAGTGTCTTTGTGGGTCTCTAAGAACTTGCTTTATGAGTCTGGGTGCTCCTGTATTGGGTGCATATATATTTAGGATAGTTAGCTCTCCTTGCTGAATTGATCCCTTTACCATTATGTAACACCCTTTTTTGTCTCCTTTGATCTTTGTTGGTTTGAAGTCTTTTTTACCAGAGACTAGGATTGCAATCCCTGCTTTGTTTTCCTTTCCATTTGCTTGGTAAATATTCCTCCATTCCTTTATTCTGAGCCTATGTGTGTCTTTGCATGTGAGATGTGTCTCCTGAATACAGCCCACCAGTGGGTCTTGACTCTATCCAATTTGCTAGTCTGTGTCTTTTAATTGGAGCATTTAGCCCATTTACCTTTAAGGTTAATATTCTTACGTGTGAATTTGATCCTGTCATCACGATGCTAGCTGGTTATTTTACCCATTAGTTGATGCAGTTTCTTCATAGTGTCGATGGTCTTTACAGTTTGGTATGTTTCTGCAGTGGCTGGTACTGGTATTTCCTTTCCATATTTAGTGTTTCCTTCAGGAGCTCTTGTAAGGCAGGCCTGGCAGTCACAAAATCTCTCAGCATTTGCTTGTCTGTAAAAGATTTTATTTGTCCTTCCCTTATGAAGCTTAGTTTGGCTGGATATGAAATTCTGGGTTGAACATTCTTTACTTAAGTATGTTGACTATTGTTTCCCCACTCTCTTCTGGCTTGTAGGGATTCTGCAGAGAGATCTGCTGTTAGTCTGTTGGGCTTCCCTTTGTGGGTAACCTGACCTTTCTCTCTGGTTGCCCTTAACATTTTTTCCTTCACTTCAACCTTGGTGGTGACGATTATGTATCTGGGGGTTGCTTTTCTCAAGGAGTATCTTTGTGGTTTTCTCTGTATTTCCTGAATTTGAAATTTGGCCTGTCTTACTAGGTTGGGGAAGTTCTCCGAGATAATGTTCTGAAGAGTGTTTTCCAACTTGGTTCCATTCTTCCCATTACTTTCAGGTACACCAATCAAACGTAGGTTTGGTCTTTTCACATAGTCCCACATTTCTTGGAGGGTTTGTTTGTTCCTTTTCATTCTTTGTTCTGTACTATTGTCTTCCCGCTTTATTTCATTAAGTTGATATTCAATCTCTGATAGCCTTTCTTCTGCTTGATCGATTTGGCTATTGTTACTTGTGTATGCTTCACGAAGTTCTTGTGCTGTGTTTTATAGCTCCATTAGGTCATTTATGTTCTTCTCTAAAGTGGTTATTCTAGTTAGCAATTCCTCTAACCTCTTTTCAAGGTTCTTAGCTTCCTTGCATTGGGTTAGAACACATTCCTTTAGCTTGGAGGAGTTTGTTATTACCCACCTTCTGAACCCTACTTCTGTCAATTTATCAACTCATTCTCTGTCCAGTTTTGTTCCCTTGCGGGAGAGGAGTTGTGATCCTTTGGAGGAGAAGAGACGTTCTGGTTTTTGGAATTTTCAGCCTTTTTGCGCTGGTTTTTCCTCATCTGTATGGATTTATCTACCTTTGGTCTTTGATGTTGGTGACCTTGAGATGGGGTTTCTGCGTGGATGTCCTTTTTGTTGATGTTGATGTTATTCCTTTCTGTTTGTTAGTTTTCCTTCTAACAGTCAGGCCCCTCTGCTGCAGGTCTGCTGGAGTTTGCTGGTGGTCCACTCTAGACTCTGTTTGTCTGGGTATCACCAGCGGAGGCTGCAGAACAGCCAAGATTGCTGCCTGTTCTTTCCTCTGGAAGCTTCTTCCCAGAGGGGCACCTGCCAGATGCCAGCTGTAGCTCTCCTGTGTGAGGTTTCTGTCAACCCCTGCTGGGAGGTGTGTCCTTGTCAGGAGGCATGGGTGTTAGGGACCCACTTGAGTCTTTCCCTTAGCAGAGCTCGAGTGCTGTGCTGGAAGACCCACTGTTCTTTTCAGAGCCAGCAGGCAGGAACGTTTAAGTCTGTTGAAGCTGTTCCCACAAGGGCCCCTTCCTCTAGGTGCTCTGTCCCAGGGAGATGGGAGTTTTATCTATAAGTTCCTGACTGGGGCTACTGCCTTTCTTTCAGAGATGCCCTACCCAGAAGGGAGGAATCTAGAGAGGCAGTCTGGCTACAGCAGCTTTGCAAAGCTGTGGTGAGCTCCATCCAGTTTGAACGTCCCAGTGGCTTTGTTTACTCTGTGAGGAGAAAACTGCCTATTCAAGCCTCAGTAATGGCGGACCCCCCCTCCCTCCACCAAGCTTGAGCATTCCAGGTCGACTTCGGACTGCTGTGCTGGCAGTGAGAATTTCAAGCCAGTGGATCTTAGCTTGCTGGGCTCCGTGGGAGTGGGATCCGCTGAGCTAGACCACTTGGTTCCCTGGCTTCAGCCCCCTTTCCAGAGGAGTGAATGGTTCTTTCTTGCTGGTGTTCCAGGTGTTGCTGGGGTATGAAAATAAATTCCTGTGGCTAGCTCAGTGTCTGCCTAAACGGCTGCCAGTTTTGTGCTTGAAATCCAGGGCCCTGGTGGTGTAGGCACCCAAGGGAATCTTTTGGTCTGTGGGTTGTGAAGACCATGGGAAAGCGTCATGTCTGGGCTGGAATGCACTGTTCCTTATGGCACAGTCCCTCACAGCTTCCCTTGGCTAGGGGAGGGAGCTCCCCAACCCCTTGTCCTTCCGGGTGAGGTGATGCCCCACCCTGCTTCTGCTCGCCCTCTATGGGCTGCACCCACTGTCTAACCAGTCCCAATGAGATGAGCCGGGTACCTCAGTTGGAAATGCAGAAATCACCCACCTTCAGCGTGGATCTTGCTGGGAGCTGCAGACTGGAGCTGTTCCTATTTAGCCATCTTGCCTAAAATATTTTTAAATTGCCTTATATTTTTTGTGTTATTGAGAGTCCTTCAGATATATTTTGCATGTTAAAGGTGTTTAATAATTATAAGTTGGGTTCAGTAGAGTAAATGACACTGAGTGGGTATCATAACTTGAAAGCAATTGTGTGCACATTATGATAATTCCTTTTTCTTTTATTCCTCCTTAACTATAGAGAATTAAGTTTCAATTTTGAATAGCACATATTTTATCCAGATATGAAAATATGCCTCTGTTCTGTAAATATGTTTTTACCAAGTTTTCAAAAATCACGTCATAGCCTAACTCTAACCCAGACTTACATGGGGATAGGAAAATTGATTGAGTGCTTTGGAATGACTTTTTTCTGTCATTCTTTAGGTTACAGTGTTATATCAAATACGGTGTCATATCAAATATTCTTGTAGAAATTCATGATAGCTTCTATATTTTTAGGGACTAAAAGTTTTTAAAGATCGTTTCATCTTTCTTTTTTTTGTTGTTCTTTAACAGACGTTTTAATTTACTCATCTGTTTTATTTGGTTTTTAAAATAATCTTAAGCTCTTCAGTTCAGATTTTCTAGAAACTCCCCCCAAACCAGACACATATATGAATATTAATTGTAATTATTTATTGGCTACCAAAAGACTTGAAAACAATCTTGAAAATTGCTTATAAAAATCACACGCCTATTTACAAAGGTAAGCTATGATGAAGAAATATTTACCAAAAAGAGCACTCTTAAATTTATTTTAAAACATGCATCAAATAAATGTTAGATATATTTTATGCAAGATAATGTACTACAAATGCTTGTATAGACTAGGTACTGTGTAAACAATAATATTTTATATCTATTGAGCACTTACTATTGCCAAGTACTTTATATGCATTTTCTCACTTAATTTTTTGGAACAACCTTATAAGGTGAGTATTTTCATTATCCGTATTTTATAAATGAGGAAACTGAGACTCAGAGAAGTTATGTGACTTGCCAAAGTCCAGAGAGCTGATAAATGACAGCTGAGACTCTAGCACAGGAAGCTGTACTAGAGTTCATTCTCATGACTATTACTTATAACATCTTCCCTCTTTCCTTGATTGTCCAAAAATTATAAATAAAATATTATATATGATGTTTACAATTTGTCTGAAATTTACTTCTTGGGAACTGACCATGTTCACTGTGAAAAAAAATTTTAAATACCAAGGTCTCTAGTTTTTGCAAAATTTCATTATAATACATAAGAGGGACCCACACATTTCAACTGCCTGTAATGTGGGGACACATGATTGTGAAGTAAATGAGATATCCAGTAAGTACCTGGCTAGGTTTCGTCACAGGTGCCAACAACGCTACTGGGCCACCAGATTCTGTCCCCATCCTGGCTCTTTCTGGCACCATATGGTAACAGTTTTTGTCAATTTAATTATTGGGGCTAGGCTTTTGGGTCTTGTGGCTGCTGGCACATGTAAACAGTGTCAGTGGCTCCAATAATCGCCCAGTTAGTTGGCATCCTTTCATGGGCTTAATCCAGAAAGATTGGCCACAAGAATCCTGGAGACATGGAAACCACCTCCTGTCACTGTTTTCCCAGATGGAGTCATCCCATGATCCTTTCTTCTTTCTTTCACTCTGTCCTCTATAAGATTGTCCCCCTCTCTTCCATAGAAGAAGATAAAGAACCTTTGCCTTAGGACTCTTAACCCCAAAATCAATTTTGAGTATAGTAGATGATCTGTTGGTTTCTATCTTCTCCCTAGTCACCTTTCCCTCTAAAATGGGAGTGGACTAAGGCTTTACAAGCTTCAGTGTAAAAATAAAACTTAAAAAAATTTAAAAACTTAAATGAGAAAATGTGGTGAAACATCTTTGTGATATTGGGCAGGGGAAAAGATTCTCTAATCAAGACCCCAAAGTTCTGATCAGAATGAAAAATATTATTAGATTTGACTACAATGGAATAGCAGCTCCATGTTCAGGGGAGGTCGTGATAGACAAACTGGAAAGAAAGAGGTTAGATTGAGAAAACTCACACAACAATTAGAAGCAGTAAGCAATACAAAGACTTCCTACAAATCAGCTATGAAAACCAAAAGGAAAATTAGCAAACGAAATGAACAGGCACTTTATAGACAGGGAAACTGAAGAGACAAATAAGCATATGAAAAATGTTCTAACTGACAAATAACCATTCTGTCCTATAAATAAAATATATTCCTGTTAGGGAATAAAGTATAACATCAAATAATGTTAAATGCTGGTGAGAATGTGAGGCAATAGGACTTTAATCTATGGCTGGTGAAATTGTGACCAGCACAGCTCCTCTGGCCAGCAAATTGTCACACCTGTTCAGGATACATATTTTCCCCTGACCCGGAACTCCCACTACTGAGTACAGCACCCCAGGTGTCACCACCGGGCCACAGAAGACAGGAGCCAAGATCTTAATCACACTGTACTTTCTTGTAGGGAAGCCTTGGGCCAACTTAGGGTTCTTCAATAGTGGGATTAATGAATGAAATTGAGTCTGTAGAGAGTACAGAAGAAACAATAACAGCCAATATTCACACAGTGCTTATGATACGTTCTAATGCATACATGTATTAATTAATAACAGCCATTTATTATTAATGTTCCCATGTTATAGGTCAAGACACAAGAGGTGTAGAGAAATCAGGAGAATAGCCTGGCTCAGAGCAGGGGAGCCAGGTCGGCACTCTGCCCCCAATAGTCTGTGTTCCAGCCACTGAAGGAATTGCAAGGGGATGGAATGAGATGAGAAGCAATCCCCAAACAGCAATTTCCATCATGTTCATATAATGGCAAGGGATGAGGAGCCCTATCAGATATCCAGCGAGATGAGACATTCAGGGTGATGAGGCATCCAGGGTGGAGGGTTCTTCCTAAAAGTGAATCTTACAAGGAAATACAGATGGACTTAGGAAAAGGTTTAAGAGCCTGACTAAAGTTTGGTTAAGTGAAGAATCATGATCACATCTCTATCTGTCTGTCTGTCTATCTACCCATTTCTATCTCTGTTGATCTATCATCTACTTATCATCTATCTGTCTAATCAAAGCTGCAGAAATTTCATTGATTCCATATTGAGTAATTTTATGGGGATCACAGAAAAAAATAACATTTCTTTATTCTTTTTCATTTGTCCCTAATCTCTCTAAGTTCCACTAATCAGAACCTCAAACCTTAATGACATTGATGTCAACTTCCTGGTATAAAATAAGGCATAAAATAAAATTTCCATGTCTTTTGTTGTTGCCCTAATGTTCCATCTTTCATGTATTTCTTTTCTTTTTTTGTTTTTTTGAGACAGAGTTTCACTCTCGTTGCCCAGGCTGGAGTGAAAGGCGTGATCTCGGCTCACTGCAACCTCCGCCTCCCAGGTTAAAGTGATTCTCCTGCCTCAGCCTCTTGAGTAGCTGGGATTACAGGCATGTGCCACCACGCCCGGCTAATTTTGTATTTTTAGTAGAGACAGGGTTTCTCCATGTTGGTCAGGGTGGTCTTGAACTCCCAACCTCAGGTGGTCTGCCCGCCTTGGCCTCCCAAAGTGCTGGGATTACAGGCATGAGCCACTGTGCCTAGACATCTTTCGTGTATTTCTGAGTATATTTGTACCATTTTCAAATACAGTCCTGCACTGCATAATGACATTTTGGTCAACAACAGACCACACATAAGACAGTGGTCCCATAAGATTATAATGGAACTATCACATATAGCACCATCATTACAACATCTGTTGTAATGTCACAGTGTTATGCATTACTTACATGTTTGTGGTGATGTGGGTGTGAACATAAAATTATGTATGGTGCATAATGCTTGATGAAAATAACAAATGATGATGTTAATGTTCTATGTATTTACTATTCTACAGTTTGTATTGTTATTTTAGAGTATATGCTTACTACTTATTTTTTTTTAAGTTAACTATGAAACAACCTCAGGCAGGTCCTTCAGGAGGTTTCCAGAAGAAGGCATTATTATCATAGGAGATGACAACTCCATTGTTGTGGGAAGTCAGGGACCCCGAACGGAGGGACCGGCTGGAGCCACGGCAGAGGAACATAAATTGTGAAGATTTCATTTTAATATGGACATTTATCAGTTTCCAAATAATACTTTTATAATTTCTCATGCCTGTCTTTACTTTTATCTCTTAATCCTGTTATCTTTGTAAGCTGATGATGTACGTCACCTCAGGACCACTGTGATAATTGTGTTAACTGTACAAATTGATTGTCAAACATGTGTGTTTGAACAATATGAAATCAGTGCACCTGGAAAAAGAACAGAATAACAGCAATTTTTAGGGAACAAGGGAAGACAACCATAAAGTCTGACTGCCTGTGGGGTCAGGCAAAAAGAGCCATATTTTTCTACTTGCAGAGAGCCTATAAACAGATGTACAAGTAGGAGAAATATCACTAAATTATTTTCCTAGCAAGGAATATTGGTATTAATACCCTGGGAAAGGAATGCATTCCTGTGGGGAGGTCTATAAATGGCCACCCTGGGAGTGTCTGTCTTATGTGGTTGAGATAAGGACTGAGATATGCCCTGGGTCTCCTGCAGTACCCTCAGGCTTACTAGCGTGGAGAAAAACTCCATCCTGGTAAATTTGTGATCAGACCAATTCTCTGCTCTCGAACCCTGTTTTCTGTTGTTTAAGATGTTTATCAAGACAATATGTACACCACTGAACATAGACCCTTATCAGTAGTTCTGCTTTTTGCCCTTTGAAGCATGTGATCTTTGTATCTACTCTCTGTTTTTACACCCCCTCCCCTTTTGAAACCCTTAATAAAAAACTTGCTGGTTTGAGGCTCAGGTGGGCATCACCATCCTACCTATATGTAATGTCACCCCCGGCAGCCCAGCTGTAAAATTCCTCGTTTTGTACTCTTTCTCTTTATTTCTCAGCCGGCTGACACTTTCGGAAAATAGAAAGAACCTATGTTGAAATATTGGGGGCAGGTTCCCCCATTACTCTATGCATGTTACTGCCCCTGAAGACCTTCCAGTGGGACAAGATGTGGAGGTGGAGGACAGTGCTATTGATGATACTGACCCTGTTTGTGTTTGTGTCTTGGTTTTATAAAAAAGTTTTAAAAGTAAAATAAATAAATAATAGAAAAAAGCTTGTAGAATAAGGTTATAAAGAAATAAAATATTTTTGTACAGCTATATAATTTGTGTGGTTTTTTGTTTGTTTATTTGTTTGAGACAGGGTCTCACTCTGTCACCCAGGCTGGAGTGCAGTGGCACAATCACAACTCACTGCAGCCTTGACCTCCTGGGGCCCAGGGATCCTCCCGCCTCAGAAAGACACCAGTCCTCCAGGTAGACATCAGGTCCCAGGTGGACACTGGACTCAAGGTGTACATCAGGTGCCAAGTTGACAACCAGGTCCCAAATAGACAGCAAGGCCCTTGGTGGACATTAGGCCCATGTTGAATACCAGACTCATGTAGACATCTACCATGCCTTAGGTAGATACATAGGCTCCAGGTGGACATTAGACACACAGTCCCCAGGTGATCATCAGGACCCCGGTGAAAACTGAGGCCTTAGGTGCATATCAGGCCTTAAGTGGACACCCAAGCCCCAGGTTGATCCCCAGGTCCGAGGTGATTACCAGGCCCCAGGTGGACACCAGGCCTCAGGTGAACAACAGGATCCAGTAGGCCATCAGGCCCCAGCTGGATACCAGTCTCCAGGTGAACACAAGGTCCCAAGTGGGACATAAGCCCAAGGCAGACATCAGGCCCAGGTGGACACACAAGCCCCAGGTGGAAATCAGGCCTGAGGAGAACATCTGGCTCCTGGTGGACATCAGGTGCAGGCATACAAGCAGGCCCTGGGTAGACATAACTATGTATAGGTAAGGAGTTGACCTGGGGGGAGGGTGAACAGTCAGCACCTCAGTGGGGTCCTGAGCAGGTCTTATGGAAGGAAGGGGCCAAGAGGATGGAAACTTAAGCGACCTCACTTCCTTGATGACAGACCTGAACAGAAGAAGATAACTCTGGTAACCAGGCGCCCATATCTTAGACTCAGCCCTGTAGCCAGCTCACTTGGTGGGAGTCGCTCAGGAGAGGAAGCTGTTCTCATGCCGCATCCCCACATCTTGAGGCTCCTGCTTCAGGAATGGCGGGAGTGAGAGCCTTTTCTGATGATGTCGATGAAGGCTCATCCCTCACCCCAGACACCTCTGGCCATTTGACTGAAGGCACCCCAGGTACCTTAGGGCAGGCCTCACTAGTGATCCCATCAGGGCCTCATCTGCACGTTGTCCTTGTCCTCATCTGGTTGGAGCCTCTGGAGCCCCTCGAGGCACAGGCACATGTGAGGTGGCTTGCAGTCTGGAAGACTTTCTGGGGGTGGTATTTTCAGGCTGAATTCCTTTAAATTCAATGAGGTTGTTTTTGTGTTTGGAAATTCCACTGGAAAGTGACTGATGTTTGTGACCCTTTCTCCTTTTTCAGCTCCTGCTCCATATGCAGCAATACAGGTACTTCCAGCACTGTTAAGCCAGTGCCAGCACCAGGGGAAGAGCGCCCTCAGGGACAGTGCTGGAGCTAGAGGAAGTTCCACAGCCCTCTTGCTGCTGCCCTGGTACAGCCAAGGACCAGCCCAATGAGGAGCTGCCTGACATCATGGCACCTACTGTAGCCACTGGCCTCAGCCCTGGATCTGAAAGTGTGGCTGGAGCTAGAGGTGGCAGAGATGGGGTGGCCAACATGGCCCCAGCCAGCAGCTCCCACACTGCTCCTGGTCCTGGGCACAGTGGGAGTCATGGAGGTGGAGACCAGGGTGTGCAGCCTGGGCTCTTCTGCCTCGCTGGAGAGAAGCTTCTCTCATTAAACAGAGCTGTTGCTGTGCTCCTGCAGGACCTGCTTGGGCTACTGCTGCTGGGGTTGTATATCTGCCTGCAAAAAGTGCTACAGAGCAGGAAAAGGAGCCTGTGAGGAGGCGTTCCAGCAGCTCCTCCTGCCCCCAGAGGTGGTCTCTTCCTCCAGGCATGGACGTCTGTCCTCAACTGGGCATCTGGGCTGTTTGTCCCTGATGTGCTGCCAAGGATGGGCTCTTCTTGACAGGTGGGTGGGGGATGCAGGGGCCAGGGGGGCATCTCCAAAGGATATAGGAACTGAAGCTTCCAAATTCACCACTTGTGCCCTGGGGTCTCCATGCCGCCACCTGTCCTAAGATTTATTCATAATATCAGAATTACAAGTTTCTAAAATGACATTTTAATAAAGTTTGACTTTTTGAAACTTCATGCCTTCTTAACTCATGTGAGATGGTGTTCTTGAGGCTATCCTGAAAATCTCTGATAGTTGTGTGTTTTTGTTGTGGTTGTTTGTGTGATTGAATTACTATCGAATCAACTGTCATTGGAAACCTTTCAGGTATGGCTTTTAGAAGACCTTGACCTACTTTTGCCTGTTTTGACTGTCTGGTTTATTGTGAAAAGAGGGATCATGTAGGTTAATTTCTCCAGCAGACCAATCACCTTTTGCCATCAAAGATTTGGCATCAGAGTTTCCACAAATTATGTGTACAAGTTGATATGTTGGCACTTTAGCTAATCTAGGGGCCAAAACAGAAGGTCATAGACTAGGTAGCGTACAAACAAATTTATTTCTTACAGTTCTGGAGATGGTAAAACCCAAGCTGAAGTGGTCAGCAGATTCTGTGTCTGGTGAGGGCTGGCTTCCTCGTTCATAGACAGTCATGTTTCTACCGTGTCCTCACATGACAGAAGAGATGAAGGAGCTCTCTGTGGTCCTTTAATAGGGGCATGAATCTCATTCATGAAGTCTCTGCCTTCTTGACCTAATCACCTCCCAAGGCCCCACCCCCAAATACCATCACATAGGGAATAAGATTTCAACACATGAATTTGAGTTTATAGCATCAGGTCATCCTGATCCATATGCACTCACAGGAAATCTATAATCTTCTATAATTATTTGCTGGTCCCTTCTGGGTTTAGGATTTTCTTTTTCTTTCAGAAAAATGATCTTTTATGTGATCCATGGTTTATTCATAGAAAAGCACTGTGAGTTCACACACTTGCCAAAAAAGGGCAATTGTGATACAGACAGGAGAGTGGCTTCTCTCTTTCTCTTTTTTAACCAACACATTGGGCTGAGACATTGTAGTGGCCCTTGGCTGGATGGTAAGACTTGAGGAGCCACAAACGGTTAACACAACTTCTTGGTCATTTTGGAGTAAAAAAGGTAACAGTTTGTCAAAGAAGAAAAAGTAAAGCAGATGGAGAAGTTCTTAGTTTGCATTCTAGCTAGACCACCCCTTCTCTGTCACACCCCATCCCCAACTCAGGAATGAAGACGTGAAACAGTAAACACCAAGACACTGGTATCCAACTGACTCTTCTGAGTGCCCTTGTTACCTCCTACAACAATTCCAGACTGAGCATAGGGGTCAGGAAGGTAGCAGGAACATGATGATACACTGTGGAGGTCAGCCAGGGCTAAGACAGGGCTGCCCACTGGGTCTAGAAATTAGTCAGGAAGGGAGAGGCTAAGTGCAGACCAGCCCTAGCCTCCAAGTCAGCGAGCAATGAGACTGTGGCAAAAGTAGGCAGAGGAAGACTGAGATAGAAAGGCAGGGGAAGAAAGCAAGTACGGGGTGAGAAGAGAACTGTGCACCTAAAGCAGCTAATCTGATGGCAGACGGAGACTGGTGCTTAGAAGCTCATTTGGTGAGAGAATGAATAGAGGAGGCACAGAGATGGGGAACAAACGTTTAGGTGGTGAGAGAGATTTAAGAGGAATGGGGAAGAGAAATCTGGCAAAAAGAAAGGACACATTCATGGACAAATGTTTCAGTGTCCTTGGCCTGACCTGATCCTACCTGGGGACCCAGTCTGCCCTGGTGGTGAGCTATCTGCTTCCTCAGGCAAAGCGCTCTCGCACCAGCAGCATCAGCTTTTTCTTGTCTTTGTAGATTTATTTGAGGTTGTCGATGAACTGGGCAAATTGCAGGTGGTCATCCTGGGGCAGCAGGAGGGTCTCCAGAGCCTTGCTCAGAAATTCAATGAACTTTCCATAGTGGCAAGAGCTGATGTGTGGTAGGCATGAGTGTGTAGTGTTGATATAAGTATTGATGGTGTCATCAGCATCATTGGCAACTGGCACAATGGAGATTTGTCAATGGACATGAACTTTCCAGAGCTACAGCAGCCTGGAGTGCCAGCCAGGCCAGGTGCAGTCATTGTGCAGTGTCGCACACAGGATGTCTGGAAGCACTATGGCACAGTGCACACTCTTTATCACCAGGGGGATGAGAGCTGGCAGCTCATTCTTGCCCAGAGAGTGGCTGAGGGCACAAGCCCAGAGCACATCATTGATGGCTGTGTGGCTGTGTGGGTATCCTGGATGTAGGCCAGGTTAAGATGGCTCATGGCCGATAAGGCCAGCTTGAAGGCATGGAGCGGGTAGCCACGGAACCCCATGTAGCGGGTGATGGTGAACAGCTGTGAATGGCTCATGCCATCAACTTCAGCATCAGTGGCAATCTGGTAGGCTGCCTCAAAGGCAATGTGGTCTTCCTCACAGAGTGTAAGCGCTGACAGGGGCACAGTTCTGTGGATGCTTCATAGCATACTGCAGGGCCAGTGTGTGAGCACACCTAGCCACTTCCTCCCGCTGTGGATAGTCAAGACTGAGGCGCAGGATAGTGGTGTGGGATACAGCTGTGGTAGCTACAATACTAGTAGCCTCAGCAGAAGTGAAGAGTGTGTACCAGCTCTGCAAGATGATCAACAGGGCCCGCACACATGTCAGGGAGAGCCTGAGCTCAGCCGTGCTATCTGGGTCCTGATTCAGGTCTGCCCAGATTACCATTTGGAGTTTGAACTTGGCCTGCATAGATGAGTTCTCCCTCCTCCTCAGCAAGTTTGAGATGATCTGAGGCAAACCAGGGAAAGGGGAGCATCCCAGATGGCCCGACCCTGTTTGAGGTCTCTTGCTAACCCTTCCTTCCCCGGTCAGGAGGTTGAAGTTTTCTTCAGGTGCTGTTAGCCTCTCACAAGGATGGAGCAGTGGAGCCTGTGGTTTGCTTGCCCCCAGGACAGGGTTGGAGATCTGCCAGGGGTTCTAGCTGAAGTGAGGCTTCTCAGGGTAGAGTCTTGTGCTGGGGCTTTGGGCTTTAGAAAGGGTCCTGAGCCTCCAAGTTGTCTAGGGTTTCTCACAAGCATGGACAGGGATAGGGATGAAACCACCTGGCCCACTACCTCCCAAGGGAGCACTTGAGTATTGGCAGCTGAAAATTCACTCTCTTAGATATGTCTCTGATGAGAGGTTCAAAGTTCTGCTGACATCAGGATATGGTTCAAGCAGTGAGAACAGGGCTTGGGCTGGCTGAACAGAGGCCATCTTCTCCCACCATCAGCCCCATCCTTTCTTAGGCCATTAGGAATAGGAATATGAAAGCTCTAAGGATTCATTGTTCCATCCCAAGAGTAGGGCCTAGAAATTCCTTTTTCCTGGTTGTAGATGGAGGTGGGAGAATCACCCACTTCTGTAGCACAGGTCACCAACCACACTACTACCTCCTGGCATCTCCAGTTAAGGATTGATAAGGTCATCTGCATCACCTGTAAACCAAGTCCCAGGGCCACGTTGAGCAGGGTGCTGTCAGTACTACTGTCAGTGGGAATAGCAATCTTGAATGCATTTGGGCCAGTTTGAAGATGAGGAAGGAAGAATGAATGTGCTTTGATTCTGTATTGCTTCCAGAATTGTTCAGAATCTCAGTGTCTCTTTTGGCAGCAGTCAGCATGGCAGAGGCCGGTTCACACTGCTGTGATTCCATATGGTGAGGGTGGGATGTGTCACCTACAGAAGCTGAGTTTTCTTTCTTTCATTTTTTTTTTTTTGAGATGGAGTTTCACTCTTTTTGCCCAGGCTGAAGTGCAATGGTATGATCTCAGCTCACTGCAGCCTCTGCCTCCTGGGTTCAAGTGATTCTCCTGTCTCAGCCTCCTGAGTAACTGGGATTACAGGCATCTGCTACCATACCTGGCTAATTTTTTTTTTTTTTTTTTTTGTATTTTTAGTAGAGATGGGGTTTCTCCATGTTGGCCAGGCTGGTCTTGAATTCCTGGCCTTAGATGATCCACCCACCTCAGCCTCCCAAAGTGCTGGGATTATAGGCATGAGCCACCGTGCCTGGCCAGAAGCTGAGTTTTCTAAAGCAGGTAACCTCATGGCACGTCAGGCTAATTTATAGGACAGGTCTGGACCATGAGACAGCAGAGCTGAGAACAAATACTTGGCAAAGGTATGTATGCATGGGAACACTCTTTTAGTGAATGACTTCTCCCAGACTGCTGAAAGGGCCCCCTTCCAGCAGTAAGATACACTGTTTGCAGTGTTTGCACTAGCTTATCGTCAAGCTGCAGCTCTTGGAGTTGGCTTAGGAGCTGCTCTTCATTATGGGACACCTTGTCCTGTGCGTAGAGGTATTCAGGCATTATCCTCTGTCGACCCAGGTCCATCAATGCAACTTCCAGGGCCAATGACGGGTAGGACTTACTACTGTCTGGGGAGCCTGCAGCCACAGGTACATGTTGGTACACAGGGGGTCTGCTTTCATTCATATCTGACATCTCCAGATAGCCGTCATCATTCAGGCAGCAGGCCTCGGTCAAAGTGAGAAACAGGCAGCCAATGGGATCGGGGGTGGCCCACCTGGCCCTCCAGGTTTGTGATGGTTGTCGTTCCTCTCTGCAACAATTCTTTCTTCTGATGCTTGCAGATTTCCAGTTGCCGCTGTTGCTGCAGCTTCAGAGTATTAATAATGGTCACTGTGAGTCTGAGGGCCTCTTTTGGATAACCATGGGAACGTAGGGAATCAACCTGAGCACAGGCTGTAGGCACATGCTCAAGGCACAGTGGCTGGCTTGGGGAATTAAAGAGTACTCTTTCACTTTCCTGCCGGCAGGCAGGAGCTGTGTAAACATCACTGCTGATTATTCGCTGTAGGTGGCTGTCCTGTCAGTGTAATTCATGGCCCTCAATGGCCCTTGTGAATATCGTTCATCTTGGTCTGGATAAGGAGTCTGGGCTGTGAATGGCATTCTGGGGAAGTGCATTGGTGATGTTGGACAGCTCATGTCCATAGTTTCCATCCTCCAGGGGACAGACATCCAGGTCGCTCCACTTCTGCAGCAGCTGCAGCCAGCAGGATTTCTCCTCCAGTTTGCAGTGTGGATTTAAAGTTATGCACACCCATAGAGCCCTAGCTCATGCCAGAGTTGCCTGACTTTACCTGTCAGGCTTGTTCCTTGCTGACTCCAGAGTGTGAGTCATGGGTCAGCCATAAACTGGTCAGTTATTAGCATCAGTATCCTTGCTCCATTGGAATCTCTCATCCACAGCATTTCTCGAACCTTGGCAAATATTGAGTTGAGTTGCTTTCCAGAGCCATACTAAGCCCCCTGGGAGAGAAAAAGCTTCACTTGTTCTTTCACCTCTTCTTCATCCAAACGCCAACAGTTCTCATTGTTAATGCTGGCCCCAGCTGTGGGGTCAGGAGCACTGTTCACTTGGTTGATTTCTGAGTTGGAGGATAGAATCTCATCTGCCAGTTTCTGTGCGGTAGGAAGAACTTCAGTGTGGTGGTGTGCCGTGATTAAATATTCAATGAACTTTTGTAGCTGGTCCCTATTCATCTGGGAAAGGGTTTCAGAGATCAGAAGACACAAGGTTTTCTCTTCTTAAAAATTAGGAAATAAACAAAAAGTTTATTTTCTTTTATTAAAAACTGAGTTTAAAATAATTATGATACTCATGGACACTTATATTTTCCCTTATAGTCTTTACATATTAAATACTTTGACGGCTTTTTATTTTTATCACCATTACACATGGTTAACTTGTTCACTTGAAAAGAAGAACGGGAAAAAGTTGCTGTCCTGGAGAACATTCTTTCCACTTCTGCATAACCCACATTTAACTTCTAAAACATTAATTACATTTGCAGTGAGGCAAACAGAAAATGTTAGAAGGGCAGTCAAACCTTATGTATTAGGGATAAGCTGGTGGCCTTTTAGTGCAGAGAATGCACAATTATGCTGTCCATTGCATATTATTTTTCATTAATGTCTTTGAAGCAGCTCTAACAATGCAGAGCAGCTGATTGTACCTCCTTTAAACTTTCCCTCTCTCCCCCTTCCAACTGACCCTATGCCTCAGGTCACAAAATTTTTCACTGCCTATTATTGCAGAAATATTTTCACTGGCAATTCCAATGGTGAAGTCCAATTGCAGTGGTTCTCAATTGTACCTCTTAAAACTTATAACAGCATGGTTGCCATGTGCTTATAGCTGAGGAAATAATGGCATTCTAAATAGTTATCCAACAGTTTGTTCCAGATCCATAATTATGTATACCAAAATAAATCCATCTCAATTTAATGTGGGGTGATACATAGCTTTACATATGTAGTTGAAGTCTTTGTGAAAGCATGCAAATACATGTATGACTTTAAGTAACTTTGACAGTTATCCTAGCTGAGCACTATCAATTTGCTAAAATTATTTTAAAATACTTATCATATACTTATCATTTAAACCTTGAATGTTGAACTCTTATCATCAGTATTTCCTGAAATGGCATTTAGAACCATTTGATCGTGGTGTTTTTCTAGGACATTGTTTCTTCCTGCTTTTTGCCACTAGATGGAAGAAGCAGGTTAACAAAATGATATTTTTGGTGCTTCATTCAACTCTACCAAGAAACACCACATAACTGTGTTTAAAATACTGACAACCTCAGCATGCTTTTATTTATCTATTTTTACTGCATTATTCTTTTTGCGTGAATACTGGATCTAAGAACTGTATTTTTGTAGAGGTTAATTTTCTTTTTATTATTTTGATTACTGGAAATTTCAAAAGTAACCAAGAAAGAAAACAATTGCCAGCTGGAAGAGGAAAGGTAAGAATTATATAAAAACATCCATAACAGGTATGCCACAAAGTAATTCTTAGCATGCATTATTGCCAAGGAAGCACACAGTATTGCCCTTGTTGAAGACAGTGGACTAGGTGCTGTGAAACACACAAGAAATGACTTGGGTACAGCTCCTATTTATAAAATTTTTACATTCTAGAAGAGAGCTAAGCAAGAGGTAAGCCAAATGAATTTACACATACTCTTAGAATAAGGTAGAGATGGATAAATATCAAAATCACAGATATAATATTTGGGATGTACATGGTAGGTGGGGAGGGAGGTTTGGAATATCACTTTTATCTGAGAACATCAGGGATCACTTCAGGAAGAAACTGGATCCTTGAAGTAGGAGGGACAGAGAATAGCATTACAGTGATAGAGGCAGAATGAACAAAGGCACAGAGGCAGGAAACGACAATTTAAAAAATATTTAAAGATGAAAGGATAGTACATTTTAAAATAATTTAAAAGCTTGCGTAGAGAGGACATTGTAAGTGGTACTTTTTAAGCAGATGATAGATACAGGAAGTATACTTACAAACTAAGGTACCATCTAAGAGAAGCACCTTAGATGCTGGGAAAGTGAAGTTTCAGCTTGGAAATGGAAGGTCACCCAGGTTGAAAGAACCTGGAAATGGAAATTCTAGCTTCCATTTGATGCCAGTGTTTTATCAGATGTAGGCTTACTGTACACATGGTTCTATCAATTGTTGGGAAGATTCCACAAGGGAAATATACGTTTTGACTTACAAAGGCAGCTTTCTGTGGCTTCTATTCACCTTCACTAATCTTAAGCATGCTTAAAAGAAGACAAAGGTGGTAAACATTGTCATTTGACTCCAAGAAACCAATATTTAACCCGTAAGGCTGCATGTTTTACTATCTACCTCCTTACCTAGCAGTATATTCATATGGATGATCAAAGAATTCTATTCCAGCCACTAAAGGCAATGATCTTGAGCCCTGATATTATGAGTGGCTATAAAATTATCCAGCTTTTAAATCCAACCACAGAATGTGATTTTATGACCTTCTGTGGAAGTGTAGCTATAGGTTAACTAAAGGTTATGAAGTAATATTTCCTTTTTATAGTTCTGAATTCACTGGCTTGTAATTTCAGAGATCACCTTGTTCTATAGTGGGACAAGCTTTACAGTATTATAATTTTGTATAACCCAATGAAGACCTTGTAACTTTTTCTTTTCCGAATTCAGATTTTTACATTTTTCCTATGATATTGTTTGTATCTAGTTCACCATTTTAATTGCTAAAATTACACATAGGAGACTATATAATTTTTTTGGCTCTGGAGTAAAGACTTTATATAATTTTAAGTCTCATTTACGTACTTTGTTCTATATCTTGCTTACAAGTAAGATGTAGTTAAAACTTAAATATTATTTTACATCTTACTGGGTAAAAATGCTGTTCATTAAATCTTACTTAAATTTGATATATGTGTGATACTATATAGGATTATTAGATTACCTAAAAATTATATATATACTTTTATATAGATATCATTTCAAATTAATAAATTTTGATTATAAACCTCACTTTTTATTATAAAAAGTAACTTGTATCAATAGTTCTCTCTATATGCTAATTTTTCTGGATTCAAAGTAAATATCCTAGTGATTTTAACATACCTACATCATCCATGTTTGAACCTAATTAAAGTTAATAATTTTATTTTGCTGACCCTTCATATCCTTTATAAAATATAAGCTGATTGTCCTACTAAGAGAAGATGCCAGTTTGATTTTACGATATTTTCTGCCTATCTACAATTAAAATCTTTAAATATCATAACTCAGTGGTAGTATTAGATATAAAAATATATAATTTCAAATGGATTTGTCAGAAGGATAAAAAAAATGGCCACAGAAACCTACATGAATTATTGCTTATCTTTTAGGGCCCTGTATATGTAGGCAAGGTAGCGAATAGAGGCAACTATTTGAAAAAAGGTGGGCAAAATGTAAAATCCTACAGTTGAAGAAATGATACAGCAAGGAGTTTTTAGCCTACAGAAATGATACAGCAAGGAGTTTTTAGCCTACTTACCCAAACTGTGTATTTACATTGATTCTATTGACCTAATATAATCGCACAACTCTTGTAATTCTTTGCCCTTATAGATGAAAGGGGAACATCTTGAAATAAAATTCTCTAATTCTGATACAACTCAGCCCTAACTTTAATGTTGCTTGGTTTCCTATTATTCTGATTTGAAAATCATTAGTAATTTTCCTGTAGAGAGTTTTAAAAATGAAATCTGTCAGAAAAAGGTTATATAGCTGAACAAAACCTGTCCATTAAAAGAGTGTTATCTGCTCCTTTATTGACTTTTAGAAGTGTATTTCTTTCAGTTTAGAGAAATTTGATTTTGCCTTTCAGGAATCATACCGTTTTTGGCCAAATAAAACCTCTTTGTTACTATAGGTTGTAGGATATTCCTCTGTGGAAACCTAATTTAAAAAACAAAAAACAAAAATCAACTCATTGGGTCAAATTCTGTTTTATGTAGTGCTGGCATAAAGTGGGAATTTCATAAATTTAACAGAAAGCTGACTAAGCAGTTGAGAATTTGGTAAGCATCAAGCTATTTTAGAATACACCAGCAGTTGAGCATTAGGGTGTCTACAAATGTTTTTTTTTTGTGTGTATGTGTGTGTGTGTGTATATATATACATATATATTCATATATATATGAATCTTGCTTAAGACGTTTCATACCAGAGAACATTTGATTACCAGAATTTTAAAAATGTCTTATTTGTCCACACATACTCATTTTTATTGTGTTTCATACATTTTCTGGTTAACATTTGATATTTCCAAACTACATAGCAAAACAAGTGAAATTTCATACTAAATTTAAAATTATTTTGACATTTTGAACTTTTACTGAAGGTGACAGTTTTACTGAAATTTGCGAGTTGCTAGAAGAATGCCTTTGACCATGTTGGGATGTTAGAAAGAACATAATCTATTTATAAAAAGAGGAAAAAAATAAATAGAATACATTTTAAAAATCATTCTAATTCTATTTCTAAGCAAAAGTAGCTCAGAGTTAGGCACAATTTGGGAATGTTTAGGAGCAAATGAACAATCATACCACTGACTATATGGAGTTTTAAACTTTTTTGCACACAAATTTCTTCTGCTTTTACGATGGGATAGTTTTCTAAATGGCTGTTTAGACCAATGTTTTATCATAATTTATTCTTGGCTTTAAATTTTGTTTTCTTTTCTTTAGTCAGAGTCAGTTTGGTTAATTTTCTCTACATAATGGGGAATGAATAATTTAAAAGACTTGAATGTATTCTGCACTAGGAAATTCAAGAAGTATTATGTTGTAGCGAGAAAATAGAGTTCTATTGAATTGAGTTCAATTGTATTCTTTAAGATCCTTTTGTCTTATAAACATTGCATAAGAACCATTGGAAATAAAGACTATAACTTTGAAAATAAAACCTTACCAGTGTAGTTAGGAGAAATCGGGATAGAAACAAATAATTAATAAATAAAATAAATTTGGATTAAGACTTCAGATTTCTCAGAGTGTTTTGGTTTTTCTATACATCTTCCATAGTGATTTTTCTAAAACATAAAACTTGTCAGTAAATTCCCTGCTTACAACCTTCAGTGGTCCACATGGCTTCAGCATAAACTCGAATGTCAGCTCAGTGATCTGCACCCCTTCTGCCAACATCACTTCTTTCATCACGCCCCATCCACCATGTCCCTTATGCTCCGTTTATCTCCTATCTCCCCTCAGCTATCTCATGGTTCTGGGCTTTTGTTCATGCTATTTCCTCCATTTGTAACATAACTGTTTCCTTTCCTGTTCTGTTCCTGCACATCCTGTGAGGTCTTTGCTGGCACTCCCGTGTTGGAGGCGGAAAGAGTGAGGGTCGTGATCAACTCAGTATACCACTGGAGGCTACATGAGTAAGCAACAAACTGTTCTCATAAATGCAGAATGTTGGCAAACTGACAAACTGCGTCTGCCGCCCAGAAAGACTGCTGAGGTCAGTCACAACCCAGGCGCAAGTGGTTCCTACGATTAGGCGTAATTGAAGCCTGTTAGTAACAATATGAACCTGTGATCAATTAAGCAGCTGACCAATCGTTACCTCCTCCTCCCTGCTCTTGTTACCCAATAAGGGCTGTAGATGCTTAGGCGGCTGCCTTTGCTCATTAGAAGCAGGGAGTCTTTCTTCTCTCCTTCTCTCTTCTTCCCCATGCTAGCCTTTCCTTAAAATAGTTACTTTTGTCTTAAGTTTTCATGTCTTCTTTAAAACAGTTTCTTTTGTATTAAGTTTTCATTTCTGCGTTCGTCCCTTCCTTCAGTCTTGTAATGACGGTCCCAAGCAGTAACAGTAGTAACTGCTATAGTGACAGTCTCAGGTAGTAACCCTGGCAGTCAGCCACACTCTCGCTCTTGCAGCTCCCACCATCAGAACTAGAGGCCCCGTGCTCTGTGTGCCCCTACTTCTATTAAGGCACTTTTCATGCTGTTTTCTCACATGTTGCTCACAGTTGTGTGTTTTTCCATTAGATTGTGAGTCATCTAAGTCCAAGGGACAGGTCTTGTTTTTGTAACTTCATCATCTAGAACAAAAAAGTCATGATGTTTATTAATTGATTAGCACTTGCTAAGCATTCAATATATACCTAGGTCAGAACAACATTCTATTACATTTTGGGAGGGTACATAAAAGTCAGCAGCTAGCATAGAATGTGAGCAATAAATGCTAACTGAGGCGATTACTTTCAGCTTTCAAAAAAATTGAAATTAAAATAGGCAAAATAAGCATCCATAAGATAGTTACATTAAATATATGTATTTTCCTTTCTTGTGCAGCTCAAGTTCCAGGAGGCTTTTTTTCTTTTCTTTTCTTTTCTTTTTTTTTTTTAAGACGGAGTCTCACTCTGTCACCCAGGCAGGAGTAGTGCAGTGGCGCGATCTCGGCTCACTGCAAGCTCCGCCTCCCGGGTTCACGCCATTCTCCTGCCTCCGCCTCTCGGGAGTAGCTGGGAGTACAGGCGCCTGCCACCACACCGGCCTAATCTTTTATGTTTTTAGTAGAGACGGGGTTTCACCGTGTTAGCCAGGATGGTCTCGATCTCCTGACCTCGTGATCCGCCCACCTTGGCCTCCCAAACCAGGAGGCTTTTCTGACTACTACAACTCATATTTATCTCTATGTTTTTATTACTTTTCTGTGTATTCCAATCAGGTTCTTAATGCTTTTTTGAACTGTTCATTAGTTTGTAGATGTGCATTTTGTTTTTTTCCCCTAATAATAAAGATTATAACTTTTTTAAGGGCAGGGATTACATCTTTAGCTCTTTGACTCTCCTTTATAGAACCTAGTGAGCAGCTGCATATAGTCTATTCTCAAAACTTGTTTGTGGAATGAATAAAAACATGTTTATGTTGGTAAACCTTGTATGTACTGCATAGGTAATGTACCTGTATTAAGTCACAACAAGCAATTCTTCAAAATTTTTTTTTGTAGAAATTTTGCTATGGGTAAAAACATTTTAATGCAACTAATAGAATTTTAAAAAATGCAATGAAGTATTCGTTGCCTTGAGGATATTGGTAAAAATGTTATTTGAGCTTAATTACATCAAGACCAAGGGAACAAGAAACACATTGCTTCACTTATATCATGGTATTTGATCTCCTGTCTCATTTTGGTAGTTGGAATATAAAACTACCACAACATGGAACAGTACACCAGTGATACACAGGCCTGTAACTCTCACATTTAAACCTGGGGCTTGAGGCTTACTAATGGAAGTGAATGCTCCAATTTTCAATGATCCCCCAGCACCATCAGGGGGCACCAGGGCAACCTTTTAATGAACTCTAGAAGTATGAAGGTTAGAGATTTTGTATTTTGAGTGCCAACAGTGAGAAAAATGAAGAACACACATTATGATATGCGGCCATGTTTTCTTACAGTAGCTATTATTTTTCTCGGAGTTTCCAAATACCTCAGCTTATTCAACATGAGTATCTGAAAAATTTAATGACTCAGAAAGCTGGGCCAAAGATTGTGTGAACCGGAATTGAGATTTTTGGAATGAACAGTCTATATTTGATAAGCATGTAAGAAAATTATCCATGAAACAATATTAATTAGTAATTCATGTGAAAATGTTAGTCCACATAGTCAATACAGATAATTGTTTTATTTCAGGTATTGAGTGGTATTTGCAAAGCACTAAATTTAAATTGACAGTGTTCTTTGAAGTTCTAGGAACTATAAGTTAAAACTGTGCCCCTTTAAAAATTGTACAGCAGTATTGTGATGCTTAGTTCTAACAAGTTATCTATAGCTTTTGAAGAAAGATTTTAAATGTAGATATTTTGTGTTTTTAAAATTTATGGACTTCACTGACTAATTTAGGGAAAATTAGGTGACTGTTTCAGAGATTCATAATATATTGGAACTCTGCCTGTGAAGGATCCAGTCAGTTAGCTCCCTTAAATATACCTGTCCCTATAGTATGGAGTAAAATATTTGCAAACTGCATAGAACAAAAGACTAATGTATAGAATCTATAAGTAATTTAATAAGAAAAAGGCAGACAAAGGATATGAATAGGCACTTCTCAAAGGAAGACATAAAAGCAGCCAACAAACATACAAAAAATTGTTCATCATACCTAATCATCAGAGAGATGTAAATCAAAACCGCAACGTGATACCATCTCACACCAATCAGAATCGCTATTACTGGAAAGTCAAAAAATGACAGATGTTGTCAAAGTCATGGAGAAAGGAGAACCCTTGTATACTGTTTGTGGGAATGCAAATTAGCTCAGCCCCTGTGGAAAGCAGTTTGGAGATGTCTCAAAGAACTAATAATAGATTTATACCATTTGAGTCAGCAACCCCATTACTGGGTATATACCCAAAGGAAAATAAATTATTCTACCAAAAAGACACCTATAAGCATAGGTTTATTGCAGCACTATTCACAACAGCAAAGACATGGAATCAAAGCAGGTGCTCATGAATCTTGGATTGGATAAGGAAATGAGGTAATTATGCACCATGCAATAGTATACAGCTATAAAAAAGAATGAAGTAATGTCCGTTGCAGCAACATGGATGCAGCACAAGGCCAGTATCCTGAGAAAATTAAAATAGATAAAAAAAACCAAATACCACATGTTCTAACTTACAAGTGGGAGCTAACCATTGGGTGCATGTGGAAACAAAGATGAGAACAATAAACATTGAGATTTCCAAAAGGGAGGAAGAAGGAAGTGGGGGACAAGCATTGAAAAACTACTTATCAGGTATCATGTACATTACTTGGGCAACGGGATTATTAAGTGCCCATACTGCAACATCATGCAGTATACCTGTGTTACAAATAAGCACATGTTCTCCCTGAATCTAAAATAAAAATAATAAAATGCTTTGTGGTATAATATATATTACATTATATTACTAGATGATATATAATTATGTATATATTATATATATATATATATATATAATGTCTACAGCTGAGGTTTCTTGACTTAAAACTCAGAACCTTCCAACATATGATGATACTTTGATTTGAAAAAATCCATTTCTTAGGCTACTAGAATTTAATCAGTAGACATTCTTTGTTTGGAGTCACTTTTGAATAATATTTACAATTTCCTCATGAACATGAAAACCTGTATTTTCTTTACACTAAACCTTATATACCTAAATATGAACTTGTCCTCCTACAAAATCTCTTCATTTCCAACTTGCCAGTTCAGTTAAGTTATTTTCCAAGTTACCAGCTTTCAGAGTCTGGTGTTATCATTGACCTCTTAGTCATTTGTTGTTGTTGTTGTCCACAAACAGTTATCGATTCTTGATAATTCCTCTTTGCCGATATCCCTTGAATATGTCCCTTCATTTCCATCATCAGCATTGGTGCTTGAAGACCATCTAGACTATTATAATATGGTCTCAGAGGCTGTACCTGCTGCCAGTGCCTCTGTTCCACACTCAATGACCTGGCTAGCTGTCCTGAAACACCACTTTGATTATGTCACTCCATTGTTTTCAAGATTAGTAGCTTGCAAGGTTAAGCTCAAAGTTGTTAGGTAGACATTTCAAGGCCTTTAATTGGCTGCTCCTGAACCTGTGTTCAGTTACTGTTCTTCCAAAAGCCTCTGCCCCGACCAAGCAGGTTTTCTCCTTTTAACTTAAATGATTTGAACCTCTGAATACACAGAATTTTTTTCTTTTTGCCTACTCCAATCCTTCATTTTAAACCTCATTAAAATGACACCTCCTCTGTGAATCCTTCTAAAACAGTTTCAGTTTATGGTGATTATCTTTTGAGTTTCTGCAACATATACTATCTGTGCCATTCACTTAGAAATGTATTATATACTGCTTTGTGGCATTTACATAGCACCATACTGAATTTTCTCTTATATTTTGATTGCTGCTTAAACTCTTATGCATTGTCTTATTTCCTTTGTTTTATTTTAAAATCCTCGAAGGCAAGAACACGTATTTTCTCTCTCCTCAGTGGATTTATTGTAAAGCTAATAAAGCTTATGCTTCAGGGCTCACTTGCATAGATCCCTTCTAAGATTCTGTGTCTGTGTTACAATTCTGTATTTCTTTTTTTTTTCAGAATTCCCCAAATTGTCTAAACTTCTGGCCCCACAAACCCTGACTCCGGCCCTGAATGGCAATGCTGGCTAACAACGTTCATTGTGTGCTTACTGTTGAGACGGTTTTGCTGTACTACAGTATTTCTGTTTGGCTGCAGATAGAAAAAACACTCCTCCCCAACCCTACAATGGCCCCAGTATAATTATGTTAATCTCCGAATTTATAACAAAAAAATATAGAAATCCAGCAGAAGCAAAGGCACACAAGGCAAGAGAAAATATAGGATTTCTCAGAGCAGCTTCCTTTGGTCCCAAAGTCTTGGTAGTGACACAATTACAGCCAGGCTCAGTCATGAAGGCTCTGAGAAACTGAATACTTTGTTATGTCACTCCTCTTTATGTTTTGGATTTATGTTATCATCCAAGAAAATCTTCTACTAGCAATAATATGTCCTCGGGGAGAAATATTTGAAGACATCTGCATTTTCCTGGCTCTCAAGTCAAAGGAAGCATCAGAAGGTCAGAAGCTTAAGGAGGGATAGGGAAATAGAAACACATCAGTACCCAGGATGCCCTGAGCAGGATTTCTGTCCCCAGCTTGGTAACATTTTAGCAAGTGCTTTACAATTGTTCCTTCAGTCCTCATGGCAATCCTGTGAGAGAAGCATGGTTGTTTCTGTAGGTAGCTAGTTAGGTATGAGCAGAGCAAACACACACACCAGGAGTGTCGGGCGACCATCAGGTGATGGACAGGAGGTTGTTAACTGTCTCGCTAAGGAAATAATTAGTCACAGCTGGCACCAGGCAAAGGCTGGTTCCTAATAGATAGAAAACACCTGAAACTAGCAATCAGCAGTTTCCAATAAGATCTCAGGCGTGGGGAGAAGTAATGCAAGACTCCAGAAGTACGCCAATGTATAAAGCCCCAAGTCAAGAGGTCAAGCCGCACACTTGGTCTTTCAAGTCGCCTGCTTGGTCCTCTTCCAAAGGTAACTTCCTTCCTTTCATTACTGCTCTGAAACTTGCCTTGGTCTTTCCTTTTGCCTTACGCCCCTCAGTCAAATGCTTTCTTCTGAGTAGGCAATAATTGAGGTTGCTGCAGACTCGTATGGATAACTATAATACCACTGCTAACATGGTGACTACTACCGTTTTGCAAATGAGGATGTAGAGGCTCAGAGAAGTTCATGATCTTGCCTAAGATCACGCAGTGGGTAAATGATAGAGCTGGTACTCAAAGCCAGATTATCTGATTTTAGCACTAGAACTCTTAGCCACTGTGCAAGACTCTGGGACATGAAAACAGCTCCTGACTAGAGTGGTAATAGTAGAAAGATTCTTTTGTATTATCTTTTTTAAAAAAATCTTTTTGAAATCCCCTTCTTATTTATTTATATTCCTCAACTCAGTTCTTTGACATTAGTTTTGAAAAATGTGCTCAGAGAAAACAAAGTTTTCATGGTGAAAAAAGTTTGGAAAACACTGCAAATTCTATTTGTCCTTTGGAGGATCACTGAGTATTAGCATAATAACAACTCCAAAATCTTTCAGAAGAGAAATGTCTCATTTTATTAATCCAGTGTATCCCAAACATATTTGACCACTGTAATTTTTAACATAATAGTAATACTAATAACAACAATGGCAACTACTATTTTTGAATACTCGCTGAATCTTGTGATATAGATACCATTTTTATCCCTGTTTCATAGATCAGAAAACTGAGACATAAAGCAATTAAGAAATATGTCCAAGGACACATAAGTGGTGGCGGCATAATTTGAACTCGCCTTCTTTGCACGTACAGCCCTCACTCGTAACTACTATTCTAAACTACTTCCCATATTTAATGCCCATTATCTGTAGAAATTCTGTGGAATTAACGTTTCCAGGAAATCACTTTGAGAAACAACTGGAGTAGAATATTTTGTATAGACAGCGGATAAATTGCTTTTACTTTTTTTTTTTTTTTTGAGTCTTGCTCTGTCGCCCAGGCTGGAATGCAATGGCGTAATTTCAGCTCATTGCAACGTCCGCCTCCTGGGTTCAAGCAATTCTCCTGCTTCAGCCTCCCGAGTAGTTGGGATTACAGGTGCCCACCACCATGCCTGTTTAATTTTTGTATTTTTAGTAGAGATGAGGTTTCACCATGTCGGCCAGGCTGGTCACAAGCTCCTGACCTCAGGTTATCCGCCCGCCTTGGCCTGCCAAAGTGCTAGGATTACAGGCATGTGCCACCGTGCCTGACCGCTTTTACTTTTAATATTCACAAGGTCCTGAGGACGTTACATTGCATTTTCCAGAAACGATTGGCAGTACTGTTGAATATAAAAATTTCCTTTTATAAGGTACTAGACTTCCCTTCTTCAGAGTGTGACCCTTTACAAATGTTTACTTTCTTCAGTTTTTCTGAATTAAATCTCTTACTATAATGATTGCTTTTTATTTGCAGTGGTTGGGTCATTTTTTTTGAACCACAGGACTAAGCAGTACCTTGAGGTGGAACTCGGTAAATTCTCTTGTAATGCATACTTAAAGCTGCTCACTGCTTTTGACTAGCTTTCTAAATAGTTTTTAAAAATCAGTAAACTCTCATTCTATTTGGTTTGCAAAATATGCATGAATCCCATCTGTATTTATTATTTTAGACATCGTGCAAAGTTCGAAGAATTGGACTATGCATTTCCTATGAAATGCAAAATCACACATAAGTGGAGATTATGATGTTTTCTTAAGGCTGACCCACTTCCTGATTTAGGTTCATCATGATGATACCTTTTCATGAAACTATTCTCATGGATCTCAAAACTGTGGAGATTTTAGTGTAGGTGCGATTTCCAGTGATTTTTAGGATACTTATGACCCTGATGTAACTCCATTAAATAAGTTCTATGCACACATGCCCCACCCCACCCCTTATGCTTTATAATCTCTGCCTGTGAGTCAACAAGCAAGCAAAGTTTAGCAGATAATTTCCTAATGAGAGAAATTCCGAGCTCCAAAGCCTTTACTGTAAACTTCAAAAGCTTAAAGTTTAAAGTGATCCATTCAGCTCTGTCTGGCTATCATCCATTTCTATACAAAATCCATACAAGGTTAATAATATGACTCTCTGACCTTCATTGTGCTTTAACATTTCCTCTGGCATTTGACGAATAAACGCTATTGACACCTGGAAAGATGGATGAAAGATGTATTCTCAGTCAGGGAGTATGATTTGCAGATGCACTGCATAGTTATAGCTTTAAAGAAAGAAATAATTCTTTAGGTAGTCATTTTGGATAGTTAAATACAATTTCACCACATTTAGAAAGCGCTTACCACATTTCAGCATATTTGAATCACTGTGAATTCTGCCTGTTGAAAATGGTATACTGGACTTCTTTTCTATAACAGACAATCATCCAAGAATGTTCTTTGCCTCCTCAAATTAACCTCACCCACAGATTTTTCTCTTTTGTTCCTTAAAGTGCTTATACATTCTGTCCTCTTCTCATAAGGCTTGCTACGTGATTTTCTAACATGTAATGAATTAACAAATTCATTTAGGTACATCTGAGTCACTTAACCTATAATTGAAAAAAATAGCATGTGTCTTTTTATCCTTTAATGATGAAAGGAAATAATGTATATGGTAAAACATTTCAAAAATAATAAAAGATACACAAACATAAAAGCCACGTAACATTACTACTCAGGTAAAGTCATTATTTACTGTTGAATGTACAACCAGGTGTCTCCATTGGTGTCTCAAAGGCCGAATATGGTCAGCAGATTTTTTTTTTTTTTGTCAGCTTACAATGTGCTTTTACAATTTTGAATTTTAGCGCTTATATTCAGAGTGTTTCTTACAGTCACAATGCATGCGTGGTCTTGTGCATATTTTGAACATGAGATCCCTAGGATCATAGACAGCATTTTATTTGCTGTACATTATCATATTATTGTAGAAAATAAGCAGAAGCAATCAGCATTAGATTCTTTCAGCCTCAAGTCCCAAATTCCTAGTCAGATAATTTGCTTTCCATTGCACTCCTCTCTAAGGAGAAAAAGGGCAGGTAGCAAGGGGAACTACCATGCTATTTTGGCTTTGTCATTACTAACATTGCTGAGATGCTTAATTAATTTGGATGTTGTACATATGAACTTTTGTGCGTCTATCAAGTAGATCTGATCCTCATTTCTTTAATTGAAGCAAAGTGTGAGATGATAAAATGAACCAACCAATGAGGCATTTTAAAGCATTGTACTATTATTGCCAAGTCATGTTCATGAAACCTAGGGTCTGCTTATTGTGAAATCATTTGTTTTAAATAACATGACTGACACTGATGTAATGCTTACTCTGTGTCAAATACTGTTCTGAGCACTGTCCACATTTTAAATCTTTTAATGACTCTGTAATCTATCTTATAGATGAGAAAACATGTGCCTCCCAATGAGCAAGTGGCAGGGCCTAAATATGAATCAAGGCAGTCTGGCTTCAGATTATGTGCTTTTTAAAATCCTCATGCACTAGTGACTCTGTTGCTAACTTAATAATTATATTAACTTGAGTTGGTAAGATAATTTCTTCAAAATAAATTCGTCATTTTCAGTATTCTTTCTAATTGTGTGGAAATTCACAACTCATAGAGGAGAAAGTTTTAATAAGTAAAACCCAAGTGTTCTGCAATTTTAATTATACAAATGTATAAAATATTAAAAACAGAAAACAAAAATAGTGCCCATATTTGAAAATCTTGAGTATTCATAAGACTTGAAATATTTTGATTTATAAACTTATTCTGTACCTTAGGTATTTTGTAATTAAGTAAAATAGAAAATCTCCTGTGTGCATTGGAATTCTTTTCATTAACAGCGAAAGAAGTACAACTCATAAAAAAGAGGCTTGTTGGCTCAGGTTTCTAAGAAGATCAGAGGTGAACTAGGTGGCCTGCCTCAGACCTGAATGAATCCCAAGATCAGAGCGATGTAAACGGGCATTTCTCCCTTGCTCTGTACCCTTCTCATACTCCCATGCCTTACCCCTCATTCATCTCTGTCTCTTACAAATCTGTGTGCGTCTGTCTTAATTTATTCTTTCCTCTTATAGAAAGAGGCTTTCATTTTGTAGTAGAGTTGAGGGAGCTGACTCAGGCAGGTGAAAATTTGCAGCAGTGCTAGCTAAGCCACCTTAGAGGAAACAAAGATTTTTTTTCTTCCTATTTCAGCATGTAAAGATAAGGGGTCTGTGAATCACAGAGTTGGAAGGGAGAGGAGCTGTTAGTTCTCCAAGGGACTGACGGCTCTGGGGGAAAGGGAGAAACATTAGCTAGAAGAGAGAAGTGACTGGTGTCTGTTATACCTCATTACATACAGTACATTCATAATATAATTCTTAAACATAAATCCTTGTGGGTTATTCAGGTGCATCACGTTTTGTTTCTTCTTTTCTATCAGGAACTCTGCCTTTTGGAGTACTGAATACAAAAATGAGTAAGTGTGGATAAATCACTTTTCCTATACATCAGGAACTACTAAAATATGTTTTAGGAAGATGAGCTTGAAATTATTGAAATTTTAATTTCTTCTGTTAAAAACATTTCTCTTGTGTAGTCCCAGAGATTGAGAAGAAATTCAAGAGTTTATCATTTTTGATTTTTAAATTTCTTATGTGTTAAGACTTCCAGGTGGTAACAGTTTTGCTTAATTAACTCACAATATATGACTAATTGGAATATTTTGTTACTTAGATTGTAAAGGTAAGCATTTTAGTGTAAGTAGTTAGTGCCATAAAGATACGAGTGATCTGATCTTTCCAAGGCGAGATCCTGGAAGGAAATAGAATATCTAGCTATATTTTAAGTACTGCTTCATTTAATTTTAATAGAGCATTCTTTCACATAGTTTCTAATTCTTAAAATAAGTTTGTTGTAGAAAATAAAATCATTTTTATGTAAAAATGTCTTGATTACTGATTCATTTATTTTAAACACCTTGTTCCAGTGTTATTTTAGGCACTGGAGATACAGCAATGGAAAAAAAATTGGGTAAAAGTCCTTTCCTCCTGGTACTTTTATTCAATGAATTTATAGTGCATAAATTATAATATGAATAGTCATATAATTAACATCACATTATAAATACTATGTGATTGATTTACAAATAACATTTGTCGAGGATTTACTATATTCCAGGCCATTTTAAGCATCTTATACATATTGTCACATTTTGTCTTTACCTGGGAGGAAAGTATCATTATTTTATCCATTTTACAGGTGAGGAAACTTTAGGTATAAGAAACTGAGGTATACTAAATGGCACAGCAAGGATTCCAATAGAGATTTGTCTCACTTGGAAGCTCACACTCTTAACTATAACACTATGTTACTTTCAGTGCCCAGAGCGTTGGCAGGTGCACAGTAGAGACTCGATAAATGATTGTTGAATAAAATTATTTTGGAGCCCCACTGAAAACAATGGCATTGTGTTAGGCACTAGAGATGGTGCAAAGATGAGCGTAGCATAGTCTTTGCCTTATTTGCTTTAATTAAACTTATAAATAAGCTGGAGGGAGCCATTAACTAAGGTGCTTGTAAAGTGACAGAATCTAGGGCAGGCATAAATATAAGTATGGCAAAAGTCAACCAACAGCATGTTATAAATTAGGATGTTAAATTACTCCATGATTGTAACATGAATCAATCAAGGAGTCTAAAACTGCTATTGTAAATGATAAATGAAAGATTTTTGATTCCAATTACGTTAATCTCAAAGCCATAGTTCTACTTTTATACTCTGAATCTGGAATCCGTTCTCTAGATTCTCAAACATTTTGTTTGTAAAATGTGGTTATTTTGTTTTTCAAAAAGAATAGGAACATGTGAAACTTGGTATTGTATTTTATTTTTATTATTTATTTTTTGAGATGGAGTTTCTCTCTGTTGCCCAGGCTGGAGTGCAGTGGCATGATCTTGGCTCACTGCAACCTCTACCTCCTGGGTTCAAGAGATCCTTGTGCCTCATCTTCCCGAATAGCTGGGACTACAAGCATGCACCACCACACCTAGCTAATTTTGGTATTTTTAGTAGAGACAGGGTTTTGCCAAGTTGGCCAGGCTGGTCTTGAACTCTTGACCTCAGGTGACCCACCTACCTCCGTCTCCCAAAGTGCTGGGATTACAGGTATGAACCACCGTGTCCGACAAAACTTGGTATTATATAAAAATTATCTTTAAAGCAAATTTTTTTCATAATCATTAAGACTTGTTTCCCAGTAATCTAGTTCTTGGCTATAAATTACTTGGTTCTGATCAGGTGTGCTGGCTCATGCCTGTAATCCCACCACTTTGGGAGACCAAGGCAGGAGACTCGCTTGAGCCCAGGAGTTGGAGGCCAGTCTGGGCAACATAGTGAGATCCTGTGTATTCAAAAAATAATTTAAAAAAATTAACCAGGTGTGGTAGTACATGCCTGTGGTCCCAGCTACTAGGAAGGCTGAGGTGGGAGGATTGCTTGAGCCTAAGAGGTTGAGGCTGCATTGAGCTGTGATTGCACCATTGCTCTCCAGCCTGGGCAACAGAGCAAGAACCTGTCCAGAAAAATTAAAAAAAAAAAAATAACTCAGTTCTAAAAGTTGTCTTTTCTTTACTCGTTTTTGCCTCACTCCCTCCTGTCATTTCATCCTGCCTCCCATTTTCTTGCCTTCCTCCCAACTTTCCTTTTCCTACTTAGTATAGAACCATAAAATATTAGAGCTGGAAGAGACTTTAAGGGCCGTATATCCAAAACTTTTATTTGGTTCAGAAATCTCTCCTTCCAATTAGTGGTGGAGCCCATTATTCAGCCTTTGTTTGAAAAGAAAATCTCATGTTGCAAGTGCAATATCTTCTAAAGAATGTTATTGTTAGTAATTTCTTATATTTGAGGCTCCCTCCTTTATATTTGTTGTGTTGTTCCTAGTTTTGTCCTTTAGATTAACAAAACAAGTTTTATTTCTCGTCTGTGTAATTAGTTTGGCTAAAATCTAATCACAGGGCCACATCTAGCTGCAAGGGAGGCTGAAAATATCACCTGTAGCAGTCATGGGCCAGCTAAAAGGTAGCAGGGGAGAGCAGATACTGGTGAACAATCAGCAGGAATGTTTCATGCAGAAAACAGGAAAACAAGTGAAACATGAACATCATTTTATGTGTTCTTTCATATGATAGTTGATTAGGTGTGGCTACAGGAGAGGCTCAGGGAAGCAAAGTTTATTATACAGATACGTCTCAACTTATAAGGAGGCTGACAAATCCATCCTAAGTTGAAAATAATGTAAGCTGAAAATGGAAGTGCATCTTCACACTGAACGTGTCACTTTTGCAGCATCACAATGTTGAAAAACCGTTAAGTCTAACCATCCTAAAATGGGGACCATTTGTACCCACAGGCCCTAGAAATTGGAAGCAAGGCCATATGGGAAAGCATCAGCTTTAGTCAGGATGCAAAAGGGCAGGAGCCAGGGGAGAGCCTGGGCCGTGGCTTTTGCTGGTGCAGGAAAGACAGGGTAGGTAAACAGTTTAGGATTGGGAAGTTTAAAAAATTTTGACAGCCTCTAAACTATGAGATAGGGGCTATCCTCCGTTGCATGGTACCTGGCCTTGGGTTGTTTAAAGCAGAGGAATATTGCTTCCTGGGGTGTATGGATAGAGAAGATATGGCTCTGGATTGGTTACTTTGCATCTCAAAGGCATGCTCCCAGCTGGGCCCTTTGCTATTTCTAATAATTGGCTAGTTTCTGGATGGGCAGTCTTTCCTAGCCAGAAAGGCTTTTTTTAAGATTCCAAAAACATCCTAATATGCAGAAAGTAAAAAATATATACCATATACATCAGTGTAGGAAGTAAAAAACTTTAGGTCAAATAGTACTACATTGAGTGTCCATTAATTGTCCATTATTATAAATGAAAAATAATTAAATTTAAAGATAAAAGGTATTAAATTTCTGTAATTTAATTTTCTCATGTTACCAACTTTGAACACTACTGATCGAATGTTAATTTTAAAACATTATTGGGAATCCTAATTCTTAAGAGACGTTTCTAAGATACTCATTCTTTAACTTTTTTGATAAGGCAATTTAGCTTCTAACCTTACAAATATGACACCTGTCGGGTATGTACTTAATGCAGATTTTGGTTGAAATGCACGTGTCTCTTGTGTGAAAGGCAGTAAATCGGGTAGATGCTGGTACATTTACATCTCTGACAATTTGTGAGTAGAATACATTAGCGTATTACGTACACTGTGTTGAACGTTATTAACGTGAATCCAAACAGCTGGTCCTGAAATTGATGTTCTTTTATCTGATAATTAACTTTTCCTGTTACTTGAAGAGGTAAAAATGTAAATGAAGTTCAGATTTATGGACATTGTTTAGCACACTTTTTATAGTAAGTTTTTTAAAAAGCGGGGAAATGTATATAATCTATGCAAATGGAAAAGACAAATCCCTTCCTTTAAAATCTGTAAATGTACACACTCTGTGTCCCACCATTACTGGTTCTCAACTTCTGTCATTTAAATAGCCACTATTTTCCAAGAATAAGCTACTAGAAAATCATGAATAAAATTATATAAAAAATGAAAATTGGATGACATTTTGACTTGAAAATACTTGAGCTATTGGCCTAATTTCATCTTTATCATTATGATTCTCTTTTGTTTGCTTAGGTACGGACAGCACCTAGTCCTGCTGGTCTGCCATGGTGAAGCATTTGCTGTGAGTAATACAAATCTATATTAAATTGATTTTATCATTATGCTACAATTACTATATCTTGAAATGCAGGTTTAAATGTTTTTGGGAATTCAAAAACGTACTTTTTTTTTAACTTTGACTTTCTCCTCTAAAGTTCTGGGAAAAGGAAACAAAATAAGAGAGCTCAAGGACTTGAGAGGGTTGTATCTGTGAGGCTAATATTTTTTTAATGAACCCCTGGTTTGGATGGTTTATGAGTGGGTCCTTCATAAGACTTATTGCTTTATATGTGCTCTTGCACACTGGATTTAGTAATGATAACTGCTCTTCTGGGAACAGAGTTTCTTCTACTCAGCTTCCTAAAAGGAACAGCAGAGAATAGTGTGTACTTTGTTGGAAAATCTTATATAAACTGAGGACACTTTCAACAATGTAGAACCATAAATTTTTTTAAAAAGTGAAATATTTCAAAATGACTGAGAAGCACAGAAAATAATGACACTTACCACCTGGAATTAACTCTCACTACCTGAATTTGTCAGATATTAAAAAATAAATCATTATAGACACACCAAATCTCACCTCTTAATCCTTTTCTTTTCCTTCCTTTCTTCTCTCTTCCTTTTTCATTTTTTTCTACTTTCACTATTCTAAAGTTGGTCTGTATTATTTCCATGGTATTTTCATGCCTTTCAATATGTGTATTCATAAAAGACATATTTTATGTATTTTGAAAGTTTATAAAATGACGTATTCTTGTTAATTAATTAAAAAAGCGATTAAGATGTTTTTGTAAATGACAATATGAGGCATATATATATATAGAGAGAGTCATAGGTATAGATATATAAATTATATAAATATGGCAGAAGTCAAATATTTTGCAAAGTTGTATATTTTGCAATGGCTCATGTTAAGTGCTGTATTTTGTTTCAATATATAGAACTCATATGTTCCTCAATTGGTGGACAATTAGGTTATTTCCATAGAGTTTTTAAAAGCAATTTTATTTTTATTTTTATTTTTTTCAAGAGAATTAAATCGTTTATTGATTACACATGATAATGGATGATGCACAAGCTTCATTCCCATCTATAATTTTATCTGGTACCATTATTCAATTTAGATATATTGCATAGGATGTGCCAACAATCACTTTTATAACCAATAATTCCATGATTTTGCTTGGGTAATCCCTTTTAATGGTGAACTTCAGGTCACAACAGTAACTATCAGTTCAACTACACCAAGGTTTCCAAAGACAGTGGCTTCGCCACCCTAGCAGGTTGTATATAAATTCCAAATAGAACCTGGTATCACCCTGAAGGAATTCTAACTTCACACTTTTGGGGAAATTTACCAAGATGGCTTCAGAGTAGACTAACTTTACACAGCACATTTTAAAAAAAGACATTTATTCAGTGTGTTTTAAAAATTATTTTACAAACACACATGGTTTAGAAGATCAACTGCAGGGCTTATGAGTAAATGGAGCACTGTTTGCCCCATTACTCCTCACTCTAGTCTTGTTCCCTCACAGGCAACTGCTTGTAAATATCAAGAGTTGTCTTTGTATTTACTTTATTAATTATTTCTGAATAATATACAGATACTGGCCTTTTCTAATTCATCAAGCGAAAAGTCTTATCTATTCACCTCCTGTTATAGTGGTTGAGGATTTAGCTCTCTTTTCATCACCTTCCCTCCTTACTCCATCCTTTCAGAACACTTACGTCACAAATTTTAGTTAAATTATCAGTGTTTATACTATGATTTTTAAATTTTGTCCGCTACAGAGGTGAGAAGTGTATTTAATAACACGTTCTTTATCACACTTTCTTCTAAAGTTTATAATTGCCTTATTTTTTTCATTTGTCTAGTTTCCTATTTGCCTGTATTTTTTTCCCCAAGTCTTCCCTCATATTTGTCATAAACCTATTAATTTTTTACAAATGCTCAAACCCAGTTTCAAATATTCTGTTGGTTTTATTTTTTCCCTATAGCTCTTAATCCACTTGGTAGGCTTTGGATTGGCTGCTTGCCACCTTGACAGTGAGCTGCACAGAGACCACTCAGGAGCTTCTCTGTAGCACTTACTGTGCTGGAGCTCCTGTTTGTTGGATAATTACCTTTCTTAGTTTACTCCCATGATTTTCTGAAGCATAAAATCCAGAATCTTCTTAGGAAAGAGGTGTGGGTTGTCCAGTTTCTGACTATTCTGTGTCTGAAAATGTCCACTGAAGTTGATAGTCATCTTTCCTCACCATCTTAATGACAGTCCTCCATGGTCTTCTAGTTTCCATTATTATTGATGAGACATTCAATTCTTTTACTTATTTTTTTAATGTGTCATTTTGTTTCTTCTTTTGAATACTTTTCCTGTGTTTTCTTTATCCCTGTCGCACTAGGATTTTAGATACTTTAAACTGATATGAATCTCTTTTCATTCTTAGTACTGGCTATGCTATGAACTCTTTACTGTAGAGACTCATGTCCTTTACCTCTGGAAAATTTTTCTTCTAATATTTCTTTATTAACTTTCTTTTTTCTATTTTGTTTGTTTAGAACTCTTTAACTGTAAGATGTTGGACTATGTGGATGATTCTCTCTCTCTCTCTCTTTTAATTTACCTCATTTTCCATCCCTTTGTGACTTTACATCGTTTTCCATCCCTTTGTGACTTTACATCATTTCCCATGAGATTTCCTTGACTCATTTTTCAAATTTACATGTTTAAAATTTTTTCTGGTAATAAAAATTAATTTCCAAAAGCTATCATCTATTCCATGAATGTGCACTTTAAAAACAACAATATCCAGCAATTTTTCTGTGTCTGCAACACCTCATCTTTTAGAAGATGTGAGGACTACTAATAAATTTTAAGTTTTCTTCTGCTATTTCTGTTGCTCTATTTTCTCTGTGTTCTGTTTCTATGCTTGATCTTGTTCTTGCCATTTATATGAGAGGTTTTCTTCAAATGCTTGGTGGTTCTTGTCTATTTTGATATTAGAAGCTCTGAGTGGATTTTTTTTTAAATTGGGAGACCTTCAGTAATCATTTGCTGTAAGTATATTCTCTAGGGCTGTTCTAGTTAGAGAAGAATTCATTAGCCTAGTTTCTGGGTGGTTTTCCTTCAGGATTATGAACAGCACAAAAATTGAGGCTGGAGTTTCTATCATTCAGTGTATAGACTTCTTTAATCAACCATATTTCATCTACTTTTTCACCTCCAACACCCTCTCTGCCTAGTATGACTAAATCAAGAGCCCCTCTGGTTGAATTCTCTGAAGAACAAACCTCTGGTTTCCTGCCTGGGTAATAGATACCTCTGGCTGCTTGGGTTTAAGAAGAACTCTATGGGCATAATGACAATTTCTTTCAAATAAACTCCTGGCTTGAGCCATGAGATTTACTCATATCTTTAAAGTGTCTATTGTCTTCCCAAGGCCTGAGTCTTTCAGAGATTCTGTAGGGCAAATTAACCTGCTTTTTATTGCTCTCTCCCTTTACATGCACTCAATGTTTTCTGATTTCTGCTGTTCTAGATCAATAAATTACCTTTCTTCCATCTAGTTTCTGAAAATTTATTGACATGCTTCTTCTGCCAAGTTTTTCCTTGTCCTAAAACAAAGATAAATAAAATAGTGTGAATACAATATTTGGGCCATGTGTTTATAATCTCAATTTTATAAAAGAGAAGTACTTATATAAATTTTTTCTTGATTTAATCTCAAGTAAATTAAAAGGCAAAAGCTTTATGGTTGGGGAGTTCACCCAGGCCAGTGACTTTAGAGCTCAGGTCCTTGGGTCTAGGAGATAGGGGTTCAGTACTGAAACTACCACTCACTGGCCTTGAACCTTTTTCAGACTTGGGTTCCTTATTGTAAAATGGGGATTACCAACCCTGCAGGGCTTCCAGGAAGACTGGATGAGTTAATGCATGTAAAATGGCACATTTAAAAACTATTCTTTATATTGTCCATGAGAGCTAAGGCAATACAAAATCTAGATATATAAGATCTAACCGAAATCCATGCTTAATATGGGTCACAAGTCTCTAACATCATGATTCTCAAACAAATTGCCATGGGATCTTGTTAAAATGCAGATTCTGATTCAGTAAATTTGAGTTGGGGTGGGAGATCTTATGTTACTAATAAGCACCCATGTGATGCTTACCTGCAGACAATACTTTGAGTAAAAAGGCTTTAGACTGACTTATTTCAATATTGTTGTAACCGATCTTCTGTCAGAATGGAATGGCAGGCATTATCAAAACAGCAACTCAAAGTATTATATAAAAAAATGGAATGACAGGCAATTGGAAATCGGAAGTATCTAGGGAGCACTTGTATTGTGTAGGGCTTTGTTGTCAATTGAGATAAGATTCACATTGTTTCAACACCAGGTATACAGGTGGCAAAGATGAAAATCGAGGTGATGAGACCTGTGACTCCCTCTTTTTCTCTCAGTCCTCTACAAATACACCAGTAAAAGTGTCACAAAAATAGTATAAATATCTTTGTCAGTGTATGAAAATTTGTGTTAAAAAGAAATTCATTTAAAAGCACCTAATAGTTTATGACATTATTAACTACTCATAATCAACAACCAGATGCTTTTTACTGAAAAACTTTGATTAGTTTTTAAAAGGTTGCCCTTGAGGTAAATTGGTTTTCATATTTAAGGGACTAGGTTCATGTTTCAGTGGCTCTTTTTACTTATTAAGAAAAGAAGAAACAATTGAATGATATATTCCTTTTTTTTTTTCTAATACATATGTCCATTCTCATGCTGCTAATAAAGACATACCTGAGACTGGGTAATATATAGAGGAAAGAGGGTTAATTGACTCACAGTCAATTAACCTGAGGGCTGGGGAGGCCTCAGGAAACTTACAATCATTGTGGAAGGGGAAGCAAACACGTCCTTTTTCACATAATGACAGGAAGGAGAAGTGCCAAGCAAAAGGGGGAAAAGCCCATTATAAAACCATCAGATCTTGTGAGAACTCACTATCACAAGAACAGCATGAGGGTAACTGCCTCCCTGATTAAATTACCTCCCACTGGGTCCCTTCCCACAACACTTGGAGACTATGGGAACTACAATTCAAGGTGAGATTTGGGCTAAACCATATCAGCATATGACTTAAACTTTGTTGTAGTCTTATGTGATAAAAAGGCCAAGATTGGAGTTTTGATCCATGCGTTGGCCAGTTATCCCTGTGTGTTCCGTAACTATAGATTGCAATCTTAACTTTTGCCAGTTTTTTACCTGTGTATTCTATTGGTTTCAGTTTTCAAAAAATAAGGAAGCAAGGAAACAACCAGAAGCTGACAGCATAAAGTTGCTGACCATGGTAGAAATATAGGATTTAGGAGCTCAAATAATGGCCTGTCTGTATAAAATAGAATAAACTATTAAGGAGTTTTTTTTCCAACTCTAGATATGAAATTCTCATCATAGGACCACCTGGAAGAACAGATAGTTTCATCGCTGGAAATTACGAAGGGTTGCACATTCTATTACAGAGCCTTCCTGTATTTTTGTGTTGTTTTTTAAGTTTTGGAGGAAGGGGAAATGACAGAAGTAACTCAGGTCTGTTGGCTATTTTGTTTAAGAAAAAAATTATGGAAGACTTTTTGAATTGGGGAACATTTGCAATATTGATCATATGTTGTAAAATATTTTCAGTAGTATTACAAAGTGGTAGTGGAAAAATAAATAATGCCTAAGGGTTTGCCATAAAAAAGAAAGTAGCCAAGAAGGTAATAATCTTAAAAGAAATGGCAGGACATCCTAAAAATGGACTTAGCTTTTGGGTATTCTAGGTCAGCACTGCCCAAATAGACATTTCTGTGGAAATGACAGAAAATGTTCTGTATGTGTCCTGTCCAAAATGGTAGCCACTGGCCACATGTGGCTTTGGAGTAGTTGGAATGCTGCTATTGCAACTGACAAACTGGATTCTTTTATTTAATTCTAATTAATTCAAATTTAAATTTAAATAGCCAAGATGTGGCTAATGGCTACCATATTGAAATATAATTGTGATGTTCTATTTTTAATGTGTTTGAGAAGAGAGAAAAACAAATAGCATATGTAGTAAGGAATCAATATATGTATTGACTGAGAACTACTTAATATAAAGATATACCACTGGCTTAAAAATCATTAAAATACATATATGTGAATGTGTATATATATGTATGTATATATAATGTGATTAAAATTTAACATATTTACACTAAACTACGCAATATAAAGGTATATTGCTGACCTTAATGTCATTAGTATGTATATACTTATTGATTCATAACAGATTATATTTGATAAGAAAAATATATGTATTAAAGTCAACTCTAGAATATGTGGTTATCATAATATTAATGAAAATTAATGAGTATTTTCAAATTGTGGTGATCTTATACACATTTATCACTGTCTATCAATAATTACTCTTAGTTATCAGAGTAACTAGAATAGAGAAAAGAACAGAGGGAATGACAGAGGGAAAGACCCATTGAAACAATAAATGGGTCTTTTAGGAGACAGGATTGCTAGACCCAAGTGTGAATTAAGGACAAAAGAAGAAAAAAAAAATTCTCGAAATGTATCCTTTTGAGTATTTTGAGTTGGGATGAACCAGAATTGACAAATTGATGCCTGCTTTCTCTGAAGAGAATTTGTTTTGTTCAGCAGAGTTTCAAAACTAAAAATGTATTAATTAATGATTAAAATCCTTATAAGTAAGACTAAAAGGGTTGAAGTAGATTTTTTCCACAAGGAAGATGATGAGCACTGGAGTCAAAGGGATGCAGTTCAAATCCCAGCTCTGTTGCTTTCTTCCTGTGTGATTTTGGATGAGTGACCCTGCCCTACTAATGCTCGATTTCCTTACCTGTGAATTATAGAGAATGAAAATACTCCCTCAATAGGTTTGCAGAGAGGATGAAAAGAGAAATGAATTTCATGCACTTAATATAATGTTTAATAAATAGAGTAAGTCCTCAAATGGTAGTTAATATTAAACTTTGATGAAATACTAATAAATTAGAAGAAAGAGAGCATTTCAAGTTCCATGGGGCTGTTTCAAGAATGCTAATGAAATTATAACCTAGAAACTACTTATGAGAAGGAGATACCACCCAAATATACGAGAACGGAGGTATGGAAAAGTCTGAGAGAAAAGCGTGAAACTTAGGAATTTGAAATTAGGAAATTATTAAAGAAGATGCGAACCTTTTATTACAATTTGAAACCTTGGAGAAAGATAATTGAAGTGGAGAAAAAGCTGCTTAAAAAATTTAAGTTTTGTGGAGTAGTAATGAAGCCTGAATTTATGGGAAATAGAAACACTGAAACTACTTGCTTGTAGAATGCCCAAGTGTTCACAGGTTTTCTAGGAACAAGGCAAAAATAAAATAAGAATCCACCATGATCATGAGGTCTTACATACAAAAGGGATAAACTCCAAAAGAGACTTATCTGAAGGCTTTTCCCATACTATGATATCTTAGTAATGAGAGAAGTAGTTTTTAAGAAGTGGAAAAACATTTAGAAATCACTAAGATACTTACATATGCTTGATATCCACTATTTAAAAAGCCCTCTAATCCATCTCCAAAGTGTTCTCCTGAATCTTTTCCTATTTGATTTCTAACAGGAAAACTATACATGCAGTTCTGTTTTCTTTGATGTGGTTGTTTCTTAAATCTTGTAGTCTGTTTTTTAAAAATTAAAAAACACTTAATATGTACCACATACAAAATGCTGTACATATTTAATGTATACAATTTGAGTTTGGAAAGAAGTACACACCCAGGTTTGTATTTTGGTTTTTATTTATTGAAGTTGTTTTGGCCAACAGATTTAATAAAATCTCTCATTCTTCCAGATTTCTATGTAGTATGTGACATTGGTGATCATTTCTCTCTTCCTAAGATTATTTTTAGGATTCTCCTACTTCTCCACTGACTATTCCTTCTGGAACTCATTTTCTGTTTCCCGGGTCCTCTAAATATGTCTTTTCTCTGTATTTCCTTTCAGACTTCTTTCCTTTCCATTCTATACTATGACCATCCGATCCTAACCCATGCTTTCAACCTTTATTTCTATTCATATTTATCCCGAACCTACATCTTTGGGCCTAAGCTCTCTCCAGAATTTTAGCCCTACCTTTCTAATAATGTTTATTGAATGTGTACAACTAGGTGCCCTGAAACTCAAAGTTAACATTCCTGAAAGAAATTGATAAATTTCCAGCTTTGGGTTGTGCCTTCCCTGTTTCTAAAATTGCACCACTATTTCCTAAATCAGGCAGACAAGAAACTTCTGCTGTCTTTGATTCTTCCATCTCTGTTGCCCCTCATATTGAATCAGTTGTCATGTTTTGTAACTTTTCAGAATTTTGTACAGAATTTGTACTTTATTCTTGTTGCACAGAATAAAGCAGCCTGTGCAACAGTACAAATGGCCACTGTGTGGAATTACCATAGACTGAACCAAACTTAGCAAATAGTGATTAGAAGGTCCATTAGAACCCCAGCCATTCCCTAAAAGTAGGCCAGTTGAAGCGGCATTGTTGTCTGGGGTAAATACCTGAAATTCGCAGTCTCGCGGCCACGGAAAACTAGGACGCGGACACACAGAGAGTGAGTTCAGTGCTGAAGTTTAGCAGGTGAATGAACGAAAATAGCTCCCTCTGCTGCAGAGAGAGGGGTCCCAGAGAAATGAGTTGCCGCTTCCATGGTGGAATGCAGTGGGTTTTATAGATGAGCTTGAGGAGGCAGTGTTTGATTTACACAGGGCACGAAAGATTGGTCGGACCAGGTGTGCCATTTGCATAAGGTACGAGAAACTGGTTAGGGCTAGGTGTGCCATTTGTATAGTTCGTGAAAAAACTGGCCACCCCACCCTAATATTTTATTATGCAGATGGGTTCTTTACCTTGGCTGGTGCAATGTTGCCTGCTTCTTTACCGTACACATGGTGACAAAGGAAAGGGAAGATGGAGCCTGTATATTGAACAAAACTGGCTTGCAGGTAGCCCTTTTCTATTGGCATAGCTGCTGGCATTCCCCTGTGTGAGCTTCTAGCTTGCTTATCTATGTCTGCAGCTAGATTTTTCAGGCTGCTCTTTGTTAGAAAAGAAATTATTTGGGGCTGCTTTCTGTTAAAAGAGAAATTCCACCAAGGACTCTGTTGCCCTTAATATCTTCCTAAATAATTTCTTTCTAGCTCCTGTATCACAGTTATGCAAGCAAATAGGTTTTGGAAATAAAGCATGGCTAGATTTTTAAAGTAGTAAATGATGGAAGATGAAAACAAGAATGGGCCATGAGCCCAGCCAATGGGGGCATTCACATTATTCCTAATCTCTTGACAACTGTAGTGTGTAAGTCATGTCTTCAAAGTAAGTTTTCTGTATAGCTTTATTAGTGTTCCATACATAACAACCTCCCTATAAGTATTTTTGAATACCCTAACAGACTTCAAGCAGGTACGACTTAGATATGAATGAGACAAGATAAAAAAATTCAGTGAAAAATTGCAGATTTTAATTTGATTTTTCCTCCGCTATAAACCTTTTAAAATATAGAAGAAAGGAAAAGATTTGAAGAGCAAACTGGGTCTTCTGAGTGGCCCAAATAATGTGCAGTATTGTGTTTTGTCACCTTCTTGCTTTTTATAATTAGAGGCTTCATTTTGTCAGCTGCTTTAAGCCACGTTTCCTGGCATCCTAAGGTTAGGTTCTGGTCATTTTTTGTTTGTTTGTTTTATTTTTAACTACCCCCTCTTACCAGAGGATTGATAACAACATAGTAAGGCCTATTTATACAATATATATTTTTTTAAAAAATAAAGAAAATGGATTTTTGCATCTTGCCTTACTGACAAGTTTGTAAATTGCCAGTCTTTGCTCTTTTCTCTCTCTTCCAATTTTTCATGGTGGTAATTAAGGACTGTAAATTTCACTTTATCATTTGTGTTAGGAATAGTAGCATAAATCGTAGTAATAGCACCGTTTATTTCAGTAATGCCAGCCTGCCTGCAAATCATTTGTAAATTGGTTCCATGGATGTACCTCTATCAAATTAACCAAAAAACCACCTGCATACATTTCCTGAGCTTATTTGAAAGGCTTAGTAACAGTGAGGAAGAAAGACCATTGCTGACCTTTCCATTTTTATTTATTTGTAAGTTCTGAGTGGCTCATGCGTTATGTTTTCATTTTGAACCCTGGCAAATATCTAGCTGAGCATTTTATGTAATGCCTTTAAAAATTTTTTGAAACACAGGCTGAGATTTGTGTCACAAATAATATGCCTGCCAGATGGTCCTACTGTGTTTCATACACAGTAATCGTAATGTTCTATTGAACATAAAATTATATGCCATTTGTGAATTTATGGGAAGTAATGCTTTTGTGTTGGCAAAAGATTTTCCAAATGAGCATAATAGTTTTCAATATTGGGGAGTTAGGCAAGAGTCACTTATGTTTTTCCCTTGTACCCAGAAAGTTGATAGCAGTGTGATGTTCTGAATATGGAAGACAGGAGAGAATCTTTCCTTGTATGCTTTCCTTAGATGCCTACTTGTGCTCTCTGGAGCAATAGCTAAGACAATTCCAGTTCATATGAGGCTGCCTCCAGTACAGTTTATATAACATCTTGGGCTCTGTCCTGGATAGGTATGTTCCTTTCAGGGACCTCCTAGCATACAAAACTGATGTCCAGCTTGCTTCTTACTTATTGGTCCTACCCTAAGAAGATGAAAGAGAATTTAAATTTCATAATGGCTTACTCCTAGTCTTACCTCTAGTCAAATATTTTTAGGGAAAAAAAACAAGGGTACTTACCTTAATTTTGCATTTGGAATTGCAAATCTGAGGCAAAATCAAGTTTTTGAGGTCTTAGAGAATAAAAATATAATAATAATTACAACATATAACTTTACGTTTTTATGTAGATCTTCTCCTTATTTCTGTTTCTGGTATATAAACTTTAAGAAATAATTATCTGAATCTAAATTCTGTATTTCATTGGTTTTATTTATTGTAGAGTCTTCGAGTTTAGCATGAAAAATCAGAAAAGCGTATAGGGGCTTAACTTTCATAAGCAGCCTGCTCTTACATCTAATTAAGAAGATAATGACAAGTTTCCTTTAAATTCTTAATAGTTATATCTAGTTTCATTCTCTATATATTATTTACTATAGTCTCTGTGCTATTTAATAGATAATATTGAAGACTTCTTACTTAGGAAGTTGAAATAGTCTTCTAAGGAAATCCACTCACTATTTTTTTCTAATCCTCTTCCTATATATTCTTGTAAGTAATTGGCAATAACTTACTTTGAAGAATTTATTTTATTAGAAAAAGAAAAGACGAGAGCAATAGATTGCCTTGAATCTTACTATTCTCTAAAGAAGTTAGTCTAAATATTTTACTTCTATGTAGCAAAATCAGAGAGCCCTAAAGTAAGTTTGATGCATTTTGAAATACTGTTGAATAATTGTTTCAGTAACCATTATATAATTTAGTCCTAAGCACATATGCAATAATTCTCATGGAGAAAAAGCTCTGGAAAACAATGGATTAAAAAGCTAAGATATTAAGCAGAGATTTTAAAGAGTGACAGTTTTTATTATTATGGACTCTTCCATGTGTGGTTGAAGCTAGTGTTAAAAACATTTGAGACTGAGTGCTGTGGCTCATGTCTGTAATCCCAGCACTTGGGGAGGCCAAGGTGGGAAGACTGCTTGAGCCAAGGATTTCAAGACCAGCTTGGGCAACATAATGAGACCCTATATCTACAAATAATTAAACATTAGCCAGACATGGTGGTATGCACCTGCGATCCCAGCTACTCAGGAGGCTGAGGCAGGACGATTGCCTGAGTCCAGGAGGTTGAGGCTGCAGTGGGCAATGGTTGTGCCGCTGTACTCTAGCCTGGGGAACAGGGTGAGAACCTGTCTCAAAAAAAGATCTGAAAGGACATCTGCAGAATACGTAAATGTTGGTTTATATGTAGATCCGTATTTGAATAAATATACATGTATTTATAAATATATATAGATTAAATATGCTTTCAATGTCTGGTGTTACAGTAATCCATTTCGCTACATTAATGTGGGAGAGAATAAGTTAAAATGCATTAGCCATAAAGAATTTTTTTTAGCCTATTGGGCTTATTCTGTTCATGAGACTTTGAAATATTTGTGTAAATTCTTAGATAAAAGCCATAAAATTAAATGTTGAAAGCCATCACATTTCATTTAACAACAAACCTGTGATTAACTGATAATCAAGTTCTCAAAGATGGTGGAATAAATGATCTTTCCCTTCACCTCTGTTCTCTTCTAAAATAAATCGTCTCCAAATTGTGAACAAGCATGAGAAATTTCTAACTAAAGACCTTTCTTTCTCCAAGGCTCTGAAAAGAAGGGCTTGGAGTGAAAAGTGCCATAACTACAATAGTAAGTGCATTCTACCAAGAATAAATAAAAATTGCAAAGCCTGACAGTGAAGAAAACAGAGAGGAATTCAAGGGACTAAACCTCAAATAAAGGATTATCCTTGTTTGTGAAGAATCTATTCCAGTAAGAAATCAATCTAGGGGGTTTCTACATACAAAAGCAGTTGGGACGTTTTTTAAACTATAAAGAAACTGCAGCTGAGACCAGTAATTCTAACTGGGCAGTGGTCTCCCAACAGGTTTTCAGGCATCTGAAATGGACATCTGCCTTGGTCTTTTTCTGTACAGTTATTAGGTCCTGACTATATTTATTCAGAGAGCAGCTGTCCTAAATCAATGACACCCACACTGTCATTAAAATAAATTTGGTACTATATTTTTTTACAGCTCTATTAACTGTACCATTTGACTTTCTACTTTGTAAAAGTGGAGAAATAAAGAAAATTGAAGACTGTGAGTATATTGTTTAAGTGAATAGCAACTACATTAACATCCCATGAACAGTAATGGAGGTAGCAGAAACAAAGTGACAGATTTAACACTGCTGTCTATTTAAGTGTCAAATGGAGTTAAGTGATTTGCTGAATTCTTAACATGGTTTGGTGCCATAGTACTATAACAGCTAGCATACAACATTGAAAATTAGACACTGAAAATTAGAGCACAATATTGTCTTAATATGTGGAAAAAGGTAGATGCACTTGAGTATCAAGCAAATTGCTACTGAAAGTGGTAGGTTTCTAGATGAAAAATGGGTTTGATTAATAAAAACAAAATAATTGAAATGTATTTATTCATTCACTCATTCTTGCATTCATTCATTTATCAAGAATTTTTTGAGTACCTGTTATGAGCCTGACTCTGTTAGAGGCAGAGGATACAAAGTAACGGAATATGTGGTCTATGTTCTCCTGGAGATTTCACTCTAATAACATGTATTCATTTGGTCAAAATGTTTTATTAATTTAGTGCATTAGTCCATTCTCACACTGCTATAAAGAAATACCAGAGATTGGGTAATTTATAAAGGAAAGAGTTTTAATTGACTCACCGTTCCGCATGGCTGGGGAGGCCTCAGGACACTTACAATCATGGCGGAAGGGGAAGCAGGCATGTCTTACATGGTGACAGGAGAGAAGGAGAAATTAAAGGGGGAAGAGTCCCTTATAAAATCAGCGGATCTTGTGAGAACTCCCTCACTATCACGAGAACAGCGTGGGGAAAACCACCCCCATGAGCCAGTCACCTCCCAGCAGGTCCCTCCCTTGACATGTGGGGATTACAATTTGATAAGATTTGTGTGGGGACATAGAGCCAAACCATATCAGTTAGTCAACATTTATTGGATTTATGACAAACAATATTTCTCAAAATGTTTTGAATATATTCTTCTTTTATATGTACTTTAAATACCTCTGCTTCTATTTTGTAATACAAAAACAAAGGCAAGACAAAACAACAAATAACATGAAGCCATGCTAGTACACTGAGAGTCTACAGAATAAGGACACTTCCTTCACTCTGATAGGAAAAAAATATATTTTCCTTCTATGTTAAGGGCTGTACCTTTTCTATTAGAGTGGCTTTTTGACTTAGAGGTTTATAGATATATTGCCTGTGAAATCTGTCACAATGTTAATAAACTAATACATTTCAAATTTTTAGCTTAGGTAATAATTCTATAGGGCAATATTATACATAGTTAAGTAAATGAGAAGAATTTGTTCCCTAAATGAGAGAGATTACAATTCTTCCCAAGAGAATTGTGAATATTATTGTTTAGAAAATAGGCAGGCCATTGAAATGTGTTGAAGTCATCAATGTCAACTTTCAGCTTTTCTTGCATAGGTTCACCTGTGTTTTGTATTATAGGTTCTACTCTGGGTAAGCACGCTTGCATTATGTGAAGCTTGATATATAGAGAGGTTTATAGACTCATTCATTCATTCAACAAATATTTTGTGAGCACCTACCTTATGTAGCATATTGTTCTCGTGCCTGGGGTTATAAGTGTGAACAAGATAATCAAAGCTCCTGCCTTCAAGGAGCTCACATTTCAGGGAAAATCTAGACAAAATGTGTAGGTAGAAAAATCGGCGATTCTGTCCCACGCTACCTTCAGGAAATAAAACATTGTAGTATGAGACTCAATAATTCATACATTTACTCTTTCAACAGATACTTAGTGTGCTCCTACTGCGTGCAAGACACAGTTCTAGGTATTGGATCTTCCCTTAATCTTCAAATTCAGAAGATCTTAAATGCATTCCAGAAATTTGTTTCTTATAAGTACATTGTGTGAGTTTACAATCAGAAAACTTTTTTGAAATTACCTCTTCAATCAATTTCTTTTGACTGTAAATTATCCTACCTGGATTTGTGATAAGAACGATGTAGCAGAAAATTCAGAACAGGAAGCACACTGTGATGATGGCTTTATTTGTTGTTGACTGATAGAAAACTATTGTGATCTTAACTAGACAAGCTGATGGCCAAGATGGTGTTTCAGAGGAAACAATGAAGAGCCTCTCTGAGATTCTCACTGAAATGAAAAGCAGCTTGCTTTACCAAGAAACTGCAGGAATGACTCAGGTAGTGCCAAAGCTTTTCTCAAAAAGCAACTCTGGTTCTACTCAAATACTTAAATAAGCACTTTAAAATTACAGAATTATTCACTATAAACTTTACAGATATTTGCCTGGAAGGTTTTTGAGGGTTGGATCCAATGTGGCTCCTGAACCATGTTTAGTTTATTCCTATTAAAAAAATTAAGCCATTGCTACAATCTAGTAGATAAAAGTAGAATAGGGTTTGAGAAGATAGGCAGTGGGTTGATGATGTTGCAATTTGGGGAAAGAATAGAGCTATCCTTTGTCATAATAATATGAATGACACATTGGTTCCTTCCTACAGCTACTATATATAGTCTTTTGCATCGCTACTCATAGCAAGATTTAAAGAATTTAGCAGCAAAAATCCATATTTTTGAAGGAAGAAGAAGGGATGGGGTGGGGGACAAAGAACATAGAAATAGCTACCTTAATCTATGATTTATGCATTTACAGTCTTTTTAATGACCTGTTCTTCTGCCTGATATAACAGGAAGGATACTTGACAGTCACTTTAGGGAGCAAGAAGGAAGATGTGAAAAATTAAGAGTATTAAATGAAGCATACTTATTGTAGGATTCCCTGTGACTAGATGCTTCAAAGATACTTATTTATTCATTCATTACTTGGCCTGTTGCTCATTCCATTATTCAACCAAACTTAGGCATGCCAGACAAAGGAGACATGCTGATGTACAAAGTAAACATAATCTCTGACCTCTTAGAATTATATTCTTCTCAAGCAGAAGGGAATATAGTACATGACAAATAAAAAGGTTATTCAGCTGGATGACTTATTATTATAGTCTGTGTCTGGACATCAATTGGTTTTTCTGCAGTGCTTTCAGCAAATCAAAAATAGCATCCCGTTCTTCTTTTGGTAAATGGGTAAAATAATTTAAGATGCCACTGTGGGAGGCTGAGGCAGGCAGATTACTTGAGGCCAGGAGTTCGAGACCAGCCTGGCTAACATGGTGAAACCCCAACTCTACTAAAAATAAAAGAATAAGCTGGGCATGGTGGCGTGTACCTGTAGTCCCAGCTACTAAGGAGGCTGAGGCATGAGAATCACTTGAGCCTGGGAGGTGGAAGTTGCAGTGAGCCAAGATCACACCACTGCACTCCAGCCTGGGTGACAGAACAAGATGCTGTCTCAAAAATAAATAAATAAATAAATAAAATAATTTAAGATGCTTGCTTTAGGTGTTCTGCTGGTACTCAAGAATCTCTTCTATGAATGTGCCTGAGATTTAAGCTCTATAAGGGCAAGGATTTTGCTTTTCTTGGCCACAAATACCCAGTTCCATTGGGCAGTCACATAATATACTTGCTGAATAACAACCTGGGGCTTTATAAAGTCAGGAATTAATTTAAGTTTCTTGACACAGAAGCAAGTGGAGTGATGAGAGGAGCAATAATATCTGATTTAGATCATAACACTTGTTGGAGCTTGATGGACTAAGATCTTTATAAAATGATCTTTTTTTTGAAAACTGTTTTTGGAAAAATGAACTCCCTAACCAGTGATGCTTGGTTCTTATGATACTCTTATCATCTTAGAATGAACCAAGAAATTCTAGCCATAATGGAGAATTCTTTTGAATTACTGTTTTGAAAGGAGGCCAAGCTAGTTATTCAAGTTTGTCCTGGCAGCAGGATGATATATAGGATTCTAATTATTTGATGATGGACCTTCTATTTTAAAAGTTATCTTTCTTAAAAAAAATCCAAAGGAGACAACTATTAGCAGCTCTGTGGAGTTGCACAGAGTGAGCTTCAGAGCCTTCCTGGATAAAATTCCTTGCATGCTTCCTTCTCTAGATGCAGAATACACTGTTAGTGAGAAATGACTATGATCAGCATACTGTGTTTATCAGAGACCATAGATTTTAGTTTATGGGTCTCTTCATAGAAGTTTTAAGTTGTACTGTGGACAACATTGTTATGGAAGTTCCCTGACAAATTTTAAAAATTAAGTTGTCCTGATCTCTGAGGGAGTGAAGTTGGAAGAGCAGAGATGGTAATTTGGCTCTCAATAACTACTGTTTTCCAAATGGGTAATTTTTAGAATGGGAATGTCAATTATTCCAGCTGACTTCAGTTAGGATTAGATTCTTCATTAGGGTTGACAAGATCTGCTTTGGGAACAGAAGAGGAAAGTCTATGGCAAGATAATCTGAATAAAGACCTTCAATATTCTGTTTGGAACAGAGATGGTTTTCAAGTCCTATCTCTTTTGTTCCTTATTTCCATTAAAAGGTTAGATTATAAAATTAATATGGAGATGAACAGCTTCAAAAGGTAAAAATTGATATCAGCAAAAAATTGTTAAATATTCAAATTTGAATAAAATAGCAAAATAATGTTTGATGAATGAGTGAGTAAGACCAATATAATATGATTAGCTTCTGAAAGCATGAGAAAGAATAAAATTAACTCAAGCAGCTAGGGGCATATAAGACCCCTTAGTTAGTACCTACATAGATCAAGTTCCTTGAGCTAAGGTAGCTGTTTAACAGGACTCCAAGATCTGGGTTTGCCCAGCAGGGATCAGTATGGATATTAACAACTGTAATAAAGTTAGGGCCAATGAGCAAACAAAGCAGTTTCAGTTGCTTTTCTGTAGCACACCAAGCATGAAGAACCGATGCCCAGATCAGCAGTATCATTATGACTCTTTTAAAAATTAGTCATTTGCATAAATCAGATCTGACATTTTGTTTTATTCCAGACCATAATACTTATAATATTTTTACCAGTGGGGCTATTTCTCAATGGCTTTATTAATATATCTTCAACCTAGGAACCATGACTTACAAGCTTGCTTTTCAAAACAATTATATAATTTTTGTTTAATTTAATCCTTGGTTCCATTTGTTCAATGCATGCTATCTGCTACCTTTAAGTTATACATTTTTGATTATTTTCCCCTGAGAAAGAAAGAGCTGAACTTACAATTTAAAGTCAACATTACTTGGAACCAGTGAAATGGGATTGCATTTCTTCCTTGGGAATATTTTCCACTTGGTATTGACATGATGAATTCATATGCAATTCATGAATCTGGTATTGGAAGTATTTATGAAGCCCTTTATTCAATACTGCATGAAGAGATTGAGGATGGGCAATGTCCTAATACGTCAGTATGCAACAAGAATTTGATTACATATTTACTTTCAGCTTTTAACTACCTTGGGTTGTGAGAGGGAAATAAGAGCGTTAGCAACACTTCTTAAGTTTTTTTACTATCTAAAAAAGACATTTATTTTGTTTCTGGTATTAGAAATAAGGGGTTCTATTCACAAATAAGTGAGATTTTAACCAAATTTATTCTAAAACATTTTCTGCTTGTATTATATGATCAATATAAAATAATAGTAACTGAAAATGCCAACGGACAATTGCAGACTATTTAAACTTTTTAAAATGTAGGATTAAATATACCAAGTAATCTTTCTTGTATATTTGCATTATTTTCTCAGTCTTCCATAACCTCAGCTGGAAATCCAAATGTAAAAAATTCATGCTATACTTTTAAAAAGCATCCCTCATGTATTATATTTTATGAATACAGTATGAAATATTTTGGTTTGATATCTGCTCATTTCAAAAATTGCACATTTTTTGAGAGATGCTTTAAACATACACCATTTTACACAGTGTCTAAATAGTTAAGGCATGTACATATAAAATTATAATATATAAGGATATATTTTCTCTATATACATCTCTGATTATATAGATACACATGCATATACACACATATAGTATTTTTGTGCAGCACAGGTGAATTGTTTCAGCATGTTTATTTGAACTATTTTTATACTTTTATCTTTTAACAACTCTATCATTTGGATTAACTCCCAGCTAATTGGAAATAAATCTACATAGCAGTCAATTTGAATCAAATTCCTTCAAGCTATTTTAGGTCCTCTGTACAAGACTCCAAGATTCCTATTTGCTTTAATGGATAGTATTAATAACATTGCTGCTGGCAGCAAAAGTTCATATACTTTGATAATCTATAGTTAAAGCTCATCTTATAGGAGTGTGGTATGAATGAAGTACTTAATTAGTATATAGTATTACTATATGAATTGAGTCAGCATGTTTTATAGTAATGAGGAGCTCAGAAAAACTGTAAATATGACATGAGAGGATATTTTCATTATTACATATTGAACCTTAGAGTTGGACCATCTTGACATGTCTTAACATGTAAATTCAATAAACTGCTTTATAACCTTTTTCAGGTATGATTTGAATTTAAAAATATATGTGTATATATAATACATATATATATAAATTAAGTATATATTTATTAATAATTAGCATACAAAGAATGGTTTCTTGCTCTTTAATATTGTGGCAAGGTCTATAAACTTTTGCATAGGAAAAATAATATATATAAATGAATATGTTTTAAAATAACAGATTTATGTATAAACTTTAAAGTAAAGCACACTTTTTTCTTTTAAGTTTTTCTAGTATTTAATGAATACAGAAAAACATGGCTGTGTATTTAATGCTTATAGTTAAATTGTTTTCAATGTGATCTTAAGCCATCACCTTGAGTATTTTAAACCTTTCAATCTGAAGTGGATTATGGGAGATAACTGGCAGCAGTGAGACTCAGAGCTATGGAGGGAGCTTTGTTGTGATCCTTTACCTTCTGACAACATGGGTTATAACCCACAAAGAAAGGCACTTAAATAGAACTCCATGTACCACCACCTTTTGGCCACACTTGGATGGCTGCAGTAAAATCTTTGCCTGCTACCTCTGTAAGTGATCAAACAACATGCCAAAAATAAAATATTTACATGAATTTTACTCTTTATGTTTTTCTACGTAATGATTCTTCTAACAAATGATAAAGAGAAAATAATTGTTTGGGTGCTTCTTTCCCATAGACTCATCCTTCCTGGCACATTTTCTGTTCCCTGAAATAGTTCTTTCGAAAATGAGGAAAGAGCATTTGATGTTTCTGTTAAAATGCCAGTGATACATTGCACCATGCTGAGACCTGATCTAGAAAAATGAGCTGCTGCAAATTTGCCCTGGGGACATTTCAGTACCATGCAAACACTTGGAGGAGAATATTAGAGCTTCTATTCAATGCTACACTTTTATTATTATCTAATTTCTAAATGTGACAACTTTCCTGGTAGGGACAGCATGCAGGCCATCTGTCAGAATGAATGCTAACTTAGCCTGAAAGACCCTGAACAATATTGGTTTAGGGAACTGGAGTAAATCTATTAGGCATAATCAGGTTGGGCACTCATAGAGTTCAAGGGTGTTGTGTGTGTTAGAGGTGTATTGAGTTGTCTTTCTCCAGCTACCAACACGTAAAATGACTCTCCAAAAAACCACTTTATTTATGGTGGTAGCAAGTGTCAATTTTGAAGCCATCCGTTTCAAGATAGAGTGTTTCTTTTCACATTGGCCTTTGAACTGGGGTGGCCAGAAACAGAACAGGATAATAGCACCAAGGAATAACTATTGTTGGCAAAAATTCTTATGTTGCCCTGTCAGAGAAGTGGAATCTGATCCTGAGAAATTTGCTGTCCTCATGTCTACCTCCCTGAAAATGGCTTACATTATTTATAAATGAAACCCTTGTTTAGCTAAAACTTGTTTAAACAACACAGTGTAGTTCTAATCTTATGGCAGCATCATAATCAGTTCTGGAGATGGCAAAAAGTGAAGATTCTTAACAAAACAAATAAGTAATGACAACTGCAAACAGACATACCAGAAAACCTCAAGAGAATTTATTGAATAAATTCACTTGGAAACTTATATGAAGAACTGAAGCCCTTAAAGAATGAATAAAAAATGAATTATATTATTTCACAGCACTTAGTGTTATAGGCCAGTCCTGTTAAACATCTTAAAACTACCAACACTTCAGATTTAAGTTTGAAAACATACTATAAATTAAATACATGGTGCGGTGAAATTTAAATGCGAAATCATCCCTTCTGGACCACCAGCCTTCCTAGCTACAGTGAAAATAGCGCATTCTTATGTCCCAATTCATCCAAATTCAGTTTTCAGGTATTTTAGTGACTGAGTCTGCCTGGCAAGAGGCCATCCATTTCATGCAAAGGTTTCTCAGTAGGGTTGCCTTGTCATACACTTCTGTAAATGGGAGTTTGGAAACTTTAAATGAAAGAGTGTATAAAGTTTTCTTTGCTGAGTGTTATTAACTGAGGGACTCTGGATTAATTTAGCATCCAGGTCTGTTCTTTCAGCCATAAGCCATGCTGTCAGGGAAACTTAATTATACTTTAAGTGGGATGCAAATGAGTTGTGACACAACATCATCTCACACGAAAGGTTCATTACTTACATTAACTTGCACAATGTTCACTCTTAAGCCTAGGACTCATTACAATATTCGCGGGATTATATTTTGTAAACATTGTTAAATGCAAGTGGGGTTTTAACTTTTAATAACCTGTTTCTTTCTTAGTATTTAAGACTACAAATATTCACTTTATTAAATGATTATGAATTGAACTACCGGCTACTTGAACATACGAAGGATTCCAGGGGGGAAAAATGTTCTACTAGGTGTCTGCTCCGTAGCAAATTCTCAGCACCAGATTATTCTTTGTTTAAATTGTAAATTTACAATTAAATTTAAATTTTAACTTATGTTATGATTTATAAATACTATTGTATTTATAATGGGATCATTAAATCAACCTAGTTAACATATCCATCACCTCAAATACTTAACATTTTATGTGGTAAGAACATTTGAAATGTACTCTCTTAGCAATTATGAAATGTAGAGTACTCATATTAACTACATTCACCAAGTTGTGCAATAGAACTGAAAAAAATTCCATATTCCTCTTGTATAACTGAGATTTTGTACCCTTTGACCATCATCTACCCCTTTTCCCCTCCCTCCAGCCTTTCTAACCACCATTCTGCTTTCTGCTTCTATGAGGTTTTTTTTTTTGATTCCACATATAAATGAGAATATACAGTATTTGTCTTTCTGTGCCTGGCTTATTTCATTTTCTATAATATCCTTCAATTCCATCCATGTTGTCACAAATGACAGAATTCCATTCTTTTTTAAGACTAATAATATTCCATTGTGCATATATATCCCCTTGCCCATTTTTATTTTTATTTTATTTATTTTTATTATACTTTAAGTTTTAGGGTACATGTGCACAACGTGCAGGTTTGTTACATATGTATACATGTGCCATGTTGGTGCGCTGTACCCATTAACTCGTCATTTAACATTAGGTTTATCTCCTAATGCTATCCCTCCCCGCTCCCTCCACCCCACAACAGGCCCTGGTGTGTGATGTTCCCCTTCCTGTGTACATGTGTTCTCATTGTTCAATTCCCACCTATGAGTGAGAACATGCGGTGTTTGGTTTTTTGTCCTTGAGACAGTTTGCTGAGAATGATGGTTTCCAGCTTCATCCATGTCTCTACAAAGGACATGAACTCATCCTTTTTTATGGCTGCATAGTATTCCGTGGTATATATGTGCCACATTTTCTTAATCCAGTCTATCATTGTTGGACATTTGGGTTGGTTCCAAGTCTTTGCTATTGTGAATAGTGCCACAATAAACATACGTGTGCATGTGTCTTTATAGCAGCATGATTTATAATCCTTTGGGTATATACCCAGTAATGGGATGGCTGGGTCAAATGGTATTTCTAGTTCTAGATCCATGAGGAATCGCCACACTGACTTCCACAATGGTTGAACTAGTTTACAGCCCCACTGACAGTGTAAAAGTGTTCCTATTTCTCCACATCCTCTCCAGTACCTGTTGTTCCCTGACTTTCTAATGATCGCCGTTCTAACTGGTGTGAGATGGTATCTCATTGTGGTTTTGATTTGCATTTCTCTGATTGCCAGTGATGATGAGCATTTTTTCATGTGTCTTTTGGCTGCATAAATGTCTTCTTTTGAGAAGTGTCTGTTCATATCCTTTGCCCACTTTTTGATGGGGTTGTTTTTTTCCTGTAAATTTGTTGGAGTTCATTGTAGATTCTGGATATTAGCCCTTTGTCAGATGAGTAGATTGCAACAATTTTCTCCCATTCTGTGGGTTGCCTGTTCACTCTGATGGTAGTTTCTTTTGCTGTGCAGAAACTCTTTAGCTTAGTTAGATCCCATTTGTCAATTTTGGCTTTTGTTGCCATTGCTTTTGGTGTTTTCGACATGAAGTCCTTGCCCACGCCTATGTCCTGAATGGTATTGCCTAGGTTTTCTTCTAGGGTTTTTATGGTTTTAGGTCTAACATTTAAGTCTTTAATCCATCTTGAATTAATTTTTGTATAAGGTGTAAGGAAGGGATCCAGTTTCAGCTTTCTACATATGGCTAGCCAGTTTTCCCAGCACCATTTATTAAATAGGAAATCCTTTCCCCATTGCTTGTTTTTCTCAGGTTTGTCAAAGATCAGATGGTTGTAGATATGCGGCATTATTTCTGAGGGCTCTGTTCTGTTGCATTGGTCTATATCTCTGTTTTGGTACCAGTACCATGCTGTTTTGGTTACTGTAAACTTGTAGTATAGTTTGAAGTCAGGTAGCATGATGCCTCCAGCTTTGTTCTTTTGGCTTAGGATTGACTTGGCGATGCGGGCTCTTTTTTGGTCCCATATGAACTTTCAAGTAGTTTTTTCCAATTCTGTGAAGAAAGTCATTGGTAGCTTGATGGGGATGGCATTGAATCTATAAATTATCTTGGGCAGTATGGCCATTTTCACAATATTGATTCTTCCTACCCATGAGCATGGAATGTTCTTCCATTTGTTTGTATCCTCTTTTATTTCATTGAGCAGTGGTTTGTAGTTTTCCTTGAAGAGGTCCTTCACATCCCTTGTAAGTTGGATTCCTAGGTATTTTATTCTCTTTGAAGAAATTGTGAATGGGAGTTCACTCATGATTTGGCTCTCTGTTTGTCTGTTATTGGTATATAAGAATGCTTGTGATTTTTGCACATTGATTTTGTATCCTGAGAGTTTGCTGAAGTTGCTTATCAGCTGAAGGAGATTTTGGGCTGAGACAATGGTGTTTTCTAGATATACAATCATGTCATCTGCAAACAGGGACAATTTGACTTCCTCTTTTCCTAATTGAACACCCTTTATTTCCTTCTCCTGCCTGATTGCCCTGGCCAGAACTTCCACACTATGTTGAATAGGAGTGGTGAGAGAGGGCATCCCTGTCTTGTGGCAGTTTTCGAAGGGAATGCTTCCAGTTTTTGCCCATTCAGTATGATACTGCCTGTGCGTTTGTCATAGATAGCTCTTATTATTTTGAGATACATCCCATCAAATTTATTGAGAGTTTTTCATGTGAAGCATTGTTGAATTTTGTCGAAGGCCTTTTCCGCATCTATTGAGATAATCATGTGGTTTCTGTCTTTGTTTCTGTTTATATGCTGGATTACGTTTGTTGATTTGCGTATATTGAATCAGCCTTGCATCCCAGGGATGAAACCCACTTGATCATGGTGGATAAGCTTTTTGATGTGCTGCTGGATTCGGTTTGCCAGTATTTTATTGAGGATTTTTGCATCGATGTTCATCAGGGATATTGGTCTAAACTTCTCTTTTTGTTGTCTCTGCCAGGCTTTGGTATCAGGATGATGCTGGCCTCATAAAACGAGTTAGGGAGGATTCCCTCTTTTTCTATTGATTGGAATAGTTTCAGAAGGAATGGTACCAGCTCCTCCTTGTAGCTCTGGTAGAATTTGGCTGTGAATCCGTCTGGTCCTCGACTTTTTTTGGTTGGTAAGCTATGAATTATTGCCTCAATTTCAGAGCCTGTTATTGGTCTATTCAGAGATTCAACGTCTTCCTGGTTTAGCCTTGGGAGGGTGTATGTGTCCAGGAATTTATCTATTTCTTCCAGATTTTCTAGTTTATTTGCATAGAGGTGTTTATAGTATTCTCTGATGGTAGTTTGTATTTCTGTGGGATCGGTGGTGATATCCCCTTTATCATTTTTTTATTGCGTCTATTTGATTCTTCTCTCTTTTCTTGTTTATTAGTCTTGGTAGTGGTCTATCAATTTTGTTGATCTTTTCAAAAAACCAGCTCCTGGATTCATTGATTTTTTTGAAGGGATTTTTATGTCTCTATTTTCTTCAGTTCTGCTCTGATCTTAGTTATTTCTTGCCTTCTGCTAGCTTTTGAATGTGTTTGCTCTAGCTTCTCTAGTTCTTTTAATTGTGATGTTAGGGTGTCAATTTTGGATCTTTCCTGCTTTCTCTTGTGGGCATTTAGTGCTATAAGTTTCCCTCTACACACTGCTTTGAATGCATCCCAGAGATTCTGGTATGTTGTGTCTTTGTTCTCGTTGGTTTCAAAGAACATCTTTATTTCTGCCTTCATTTCGTTATGTACCCAGTAGTCATTCAGGAGCAGGTTGTTCAGTTTCCATGTAGTTGAGTGGTTTTGAGTGAGTTTCTTAATCCTGAGTTCTAGTTTGATTGCACTGTGGTCTGAGAGACAGTTTGTTATAATTTCTGTTGTTTTACATTTGCTGAGGAGTGCTTTACTTCCAACTATGTGGTCAGTTTTGGAATAGGTGTGGTGTGGTGCTGAGAAGAATGTATATTCTGTTGATTTGGGGTGGAGAGTTGTGTAGATGTCTATTAGGTCTGCTTGGTGCAGAGCTGAGTTCAATTCCTGGGTATCCTTGTTAACTTTGTCTCATTGATCTGTCTAATGTTGACAGTGGGGTGTTAAAGTCTCCCATTATTATTGTGTGGGAGTCTAAGTCTCTTTGTAGGTCTCTAAGGACTTGCTTTGTGAATCTGGGTGCTCCTGTATTGGGTGCATATATATTTAGGATAGTTAGTTCTTCTTTTTGAATTGATCCCTTTACCTTTATGTAATGGCCTTCTTTGTCTCTTTTGATCTTTGTTGTTTTAAAGTCTGTTTTATCAGAGACTAGGATTACAACCCCTGCCTTTTTGTGTTTTCCATTTGCTTGGTAGTTCTTCCTCCCTCCCTTTATTTTGAGCCTATGTGTATCTCTGCACGTGAGATGGGTTTCCTGAATACAGCACACTGATGGGTCTTGACTCTTTATCCAATTTGCCAGCCTGTGTCTTTTAATTGGAGCATTTAGCCCATTTACATTTAAGGTTAATATTGTTATGTGTGAATTTGGTCCTGTCATTATGATGTTAGCTGGTGATTTTGCTCATTAGTTGATGCAGTTTCTTCCTAGCCTCGATGGTCTTTACAATTTGGGATGTTTTTGCAGTGGCTGGTACTGGTTGTTCCTTTCCATGTTTAGTGCTTCCTTCAGGAGCTCTTTTAGGCCCCTTGCCCATTTTTAAATTAGAATTTTTACTTTCTTGATACTGACTTGTTTGAGCTCCTTACATATTTTGTATATTAAACCTTTATAGGGTGTATGGTTTACAAATATTTTCTCCCAATCTGTAGGTTGTCTCTGCACACTGTTAATTGTTTCCTTTGCTGTGCAGAAGCTTTTTAATTTGATGTATTTCCAGTTTTCTACTTTTGCTTTTGTTCCCTGTACTTTTGGGGTTAAATCCAAGAAATCATTGCCCAGACCGATGTTGTGTAGTTTCCCTCCATGTTTCTTCTAGTAGTTTTATAGTTTCTGGTCATATGCTTAAGTATTTAATCTATTTTGAGTTGATTTTTGTATATGGTATGTGACAAGATTTCAATTTCATTCTTCTGCATGTGGATATCCAGTTTTGCCAGCACCATTTATTGAAGGAACTATCCTTTTCCCATTGCATATTCTTGACACATTTGTTGAAAAGCAGTTGACTGTCCACATGTGAGTTCATTTTGGGGCTCACTATTCTGTTTCAGTGGTCAGTGGGTCTATTTTTTGTCACTATGATGCTGTTTTAATTACTGTAGCTTTGTAGTATAGTTTGAAAACAGGTGGTATGATACCATCAGGTTTGTTCTTTTTGCTCATGATTGCCTTGGCTCATTCTGGTTTCTTTGTAGTCCCATATAAATTTTAGGGCTTTTTTTTTTCCTGCTTCTATGAAAAATGACATTGGAATTTTGATACGGATTGCATTGAATCTGTAGACTGCTTTGGGTAGTAGGGACATTTTAATAATATTAATTCTTCCAATCCATAAACATTGTTAACATAAAATGCAATGAAATTTATATTCTATATTGTGCCAGTCCTAGAAGTAACTTCTTATTAATAAGTTCCTTAGCATCCCTATACACAATTTAAAATAGAAAACGTAGCAAGGCTACATTAAAATCAGAAGGCTAAGAAATTTTATGCCAGGGCTTTAGATTTTTCTGAACATCTGTTGGGTGAGGAAATCTATAAATATAAAGATATGTAACATATTTTATATTGATAGATAAAAAACTTGAGTGATAGAGATAAATGGGTCATGATTATCTGTCAAAGTGTTAGGATAGGTACAAAAACACATTTGGTCCTATTTTGAAAAAACAGATAAATGGTTCTGGAATTGTAAAGGGAGAGAGAGTTCACTTTAGATTTATAGTTCTATTCTCTGATGTGGGGATGAGAGAGTTTTAGGAAAAATTAGTTGTTTTTTCTTAAAACATAATCAGTCACCAACATCAATCGAGTGTTTGATAGTTATTTTCAAGTATATAGATGTAAGAAAAACAATAATGAGCTTTTATTGAGTACTTATTATGCTCTTGGCAAAGAGTAGTTTACTTGTGTACACTCATTTAATACACACAAAACCCTGTGAAGCAGGTACTCTATTCAGATTTTACAGATCATAAAACTATAATAAGAAAGAGAGGGCTTAAGCAAGTTGCTCAACATCACACAATGAGTGTGAAGGACAGGTTTCAAATCTATTTGGTCTGATTCTTTGTGGCGTTCTCTGTATTTCCTGAATATGAACGTTGGCCTGCCTTGCTAGATTGGGGAAGTTCTCCTGGATAATATCCTGCAGAGTGTTTTCCAACTTGGTTCCATTCTCCCCATCACTTTCAGGTACACCAATCAGACGTAGATTTGGTCTTTTCACATAGTCCCATATTACTTGGAGGCTTTGCTCATTTCTTTTTATTCTTTTTTCTCTAAACTTCCCTTCTCGCTTCATTTCATTCATTTCATCTTCCATTGCTGATACCCTTTCTTCCAGTTGATTGCATCGGCTCCTGAGGCTTCTGCATTCTTCACGTAGTTCTCGAGCCTTGGTTTTCAGCTCCATCAGTGCCTTTAAGCACTTCTCTGTATTGGTTATTCTAGTTATACATTCTTCTAAATTTTATTTCAAAGTTTTCAACTTCTTTGCCTTTGGTTTGAATGTCCTCCCGTAGCTCAGAGTAATTTGATCGTCTGAAGCCTTCTTCTCTCAGCTCATCAAAGTCATTCTCCATCCAGCTTTGTTCCGTTGCTGGTGAGGAACTGCGTTCCTTTGGAGGAGGAGAGGCGCTCTGCTTTTTAGAGTTTCCAGTTTTTCTGTTCTGTTTTTTTCCCCATCTTTGTGGTTTTATCTACTTTTGGTCTTTGATGATGGTGATGTACAGATGGGTTTTTGGTGTGGATGTCCTTTCTGTTTGTTAGTCTTCCTTCTAACAGACAGGACCCTCAGCAGCAGGTCTGATTCTAAAGTCCATTATTTTAACTGCTATGGTATACTGCCTAAGGTGTACGAAGGTTTATATATGCAGTAAATATATTTATATAATTAATATAATATATAAATTATTACATTTTATATCATAAATTAATTTAAATTCTAATTTTATACCATAAATTCATTGTAATTTAAGTTTAATTAAATTATTATTGTAAAATAGTATTTATGTTTAATAAATTGGTTCATAACTTAATTCAATAAATTATATTTATTGATTATAAAGACCTCTTGTACAATTTGGGAAGTATATCATAGTAGTTAAAATCATGAACTTTAGAACTAGACTGGGTAGGTTTGAATCCTGTGCTCTCACAGTGTGAACCCTATGCATCCTGATTGATACACACATTAATGTGTATATGAAGTTGATGAATAATATTAGCATATTAGAGACGGGAGACATCTTAGGAGACATCTAGTTTACTACCTTCATTTTGTAGAAATCCAGAGAAGTTTATTCAGCATGTTGTCATATCTTTTACGTAGCATTTAACACTTCTAAATCTTCTCTTTAAGGGTTATATTTAAGATAATGATACTCTAATTATTTAAAACAATCATTTTGACTTGCATAGAAATTTTTATTTACCTTCAATTTCAGTATTTGTTGACATTCTACAAGTTCTCAAAGTGCTCGTGAAATACAAGAATACAAAAAAAGAGACTCTTATTTTCTAAACTAAAACAAAATTTAAAATCTCAATGAAGCAATAACTTAAATATGATAAGAACCACAGGAGTTCTATAGAAAAAGACTGAAGATCATATTGAGGGTAATAAACAGTCCTTTCATAAAGATGATAGACATTTAAAGAGGCCTTGTAGGATGTGTAGGGTGTTGAATATTGAACTTGAGGAGTGGTGGATAAGGGCATGTGGACAGATTAAAGCATAAGCAAAGGCTCAGAGGCAGAAAAATATTTTACATTTGGATGGAAAATGCACTCTAGTTTGCTTTACTGTGGCATAGGCTAGGCATGGGAATAGTGGGAAAATGACAAAATAACTGAACTGACTTCTTGAATTTTTGTGGATCGTGATACATCGTAGCCCAATAAAAATCAAGAAAATGTAAGATGAGATGAGTAAGATAAACATTTACATCAATTTGTGTTTATATAAATTTAAGTACCTTCATAAATTGAGTTAAATAACAGAGCTTTGAAAGTAACCACATTCTTTATCTTTGGCCTCTGAAAAAAGAAGCTAACAAAGATCTAAGAAAGGACGAGAGCCATTTTGAATGTGACATGAATATAAAGATTTCTCAATGAATCATATATGGAAGATTAAATTTCATTTTTAGTAACCCTAAAACTATCTTCAGCATTGAATTGAATGTTAAATATGACAGCCAATCTTGACATATTAAAACAACTTAGAGGGCTTCATTTTCTGGATAGGGGATATTAGATAACTCAAGCGGCCTTCAGTTTTTAAATACCTAAAAACACTAAATCAAATGTAACAACTATCTATTTAATTGCTCCCAAAAGAATTGGAAAATCTCAAGGGAGATAAACAATGAGGAAAAAATTCCTGGAGCAAAAGGTAATGTGGCAACCACCTTGAAAGGTCGGGGTCGGGGCTGGTTCCATCTCTCAGTAACAAGAATTGGAATTTAACACTCTTTAGGGACAGAAAATGATGCCGTGGATCTACATGAGCCAGGGAGTTGAAAAAGAAACAGAAAATAAAATGAAAAACGATCATCAGGTTGCAACACCAGTGAATAGGTCAAGGGTGAACCAGAAAAATATCTATCCCATGGCACAGGGAGCCAACCTACCTCTTTCAGCCTGAACTGGGAGTTGGTTTGGCAGAATTTTTCCTCTGATAATTTGCAAATATAGGTCTGCCTTCACATTAATTTGGGGCTCAGTGTTACACTCTGTAGGTGATTTATACACTGGGTTGAAGCAGCCACAAATAACTTTAGAAGCCAGGTTTCATGGAATTTAGAGCTTTTTAAGGGTACATTGGATTGTTGTTTTTCTTCCTGAAGGAGGGTAGAGATGCAGATTAACTTCAGATTTTGTTAAATCAGTAGGTTATTCATAGGGAAACAAAAATGAATCTATAGAGTACAACATAAACAAAAACCAATTCCAGGTGTATTAAAGGTTCAAACATGAAAATGAAACTAAATTCCTTTCAGAAGAAAGCATAGAAAAAATATTTTTGACATCACACTAGGGATGGATTTCTTAAGACTTAGCATCAAAAAGATTAATCTAAATTTAAAAGATTCTATATATCATAAGACACTGTAAACACTGTTGGTGAGAGTATAAATTGGTACAATGACTTTGGAGGGCAATTGAAGCCACGTATTGCAAACCTAAAGATGTGCATAACCTTAAAACCCCAAAATTCCATTCCCATGTATATAATCTAGGGACACTTCTTTATATGTATACAGGAGATACATATAGGAATGTTGAAACATTGTTTGAAAAATTGGAAAAAACTTAGATATATATATCCACAGGAGAATGAATACATAAATTTTGTCATATTAATTCATTAAAATAAAACAATTAAAATTATGAATTAGAGCCAAATTACAATATAGATAATCTAAAAATATAATCTTGCATATATATATATATACATACTATATATGGCATAAGTATAGTATGCTACTATTTTGTAAAGAATAGAGACATGAACAACAACACTTATATGTACATACATAGTTTATACAGTAAAATTATAAAAACATACTTGGAAGTTACAAACACCAAATTTAGGATAATGGCTATTTTGAGGTAGGGAGAGAGATGAATGGAAGTTTTTCTTAAACTAGGTAGTTTATTAAACCTATACTTTTTAATATGGCTGAAATCTTTCATAATATTAGAGCAATTTAATAACAACTTAATTAATGCCATAATTTTAACATCAAATAAAATGATCATGCTGGGCTGCACACATACTACCTCCATTTGGAAAGTTTCTTTTTCTCTGTCACTCATTCATTTTTTTCTAGTTATATAAACTTTGCTTTTGAATAATTTGTTGGACTTTGTTTTCTAATACCAAATTTCAAAATTTTAAGTATAATATAACACTGAGCTTTAAACTTATTTGCATGGCAAGAGTTTGCTGAGAGGCCTCTTTAGGATCCTGTATGTACTTTGGTTACATGGTCCAAATCACAACATGCTCAAATTCTTGTGACTTTTTCTTCCTTTAATTTAGCCATGTGACTTAATGGGCACCGAACAACCCAAGTGTTGAGATAAATTTATTTTCTTGGGTCAGTTTGTGCTAGTTATGTTACAGCTCCATGTCCTGGGAACTTCTGACTCAAGATATATAGTTATATTTGTAATATGTTTTACATTTTCTGATTATAAAATGTGAAGTTACGTGTATATGTTTGAAAATATAGAGATATTAAAAAACAAAAAAATTCTTCTTAGAGATAACCTGTTATCTATGGACATAATTATATTTTGAACACAAATAGAGGCAGACTGTTCATGGTGATTTGTAACCTAACTTACTTTTTGTGCTTAACACTAAACTGAACATTTTTTCTTTTATCTTAATATTATCCTTCTAAGCTGCCATTACTTTTTGCTTTGTGACTTGCCTCATTGCTTCCTCCTCTTGCCACTTGCTGTCTGTTCTCAACACATCAGTCAGATCATTTCTCTCCTCTGTCTAAAACCCTCCAGTGGCATTTCACCCCATCCAGATGCAAGTACGCTCATGATACTCTTTTAGACCATAGTCTCCAAAATTGACTTGTTGAATGCAATGGAAAGCAAAATTCTCAGACATAAGAGTCATATTGTCAAAATACACTCCAGAATTTTTTCCACCTAACATGTCCATTAACAGTATATGAGTACTCATTTCCAGAACCTCCTCTAACTGAATGTTATTATAAAACATTGAAAAATACCCAACTGATATGCAGTTTTTCATATTTATTTACAGTTCACTGATGTTAAGTACAGTTGACTACGTTTCCCCTTACTTTGCTCATGTTAATATTAGGATGTTTATAATCTTCTACTGATTTTGAAGATATTATCTTTTTCTACACATTCAGCACAGGTATTTTGCCTTTTAATTTTGTTTTTAATTTTTCAGACAATGCTATCAATCTTTTTCTTTGTAATTTCTGCCTTGGTATTAGCTTAAAATGATATTATTGAAAACAAGATTATATTTATATTTGTTCTTGTTGGATTTTTCTTCATTGATATGTAGTTTTATTCATTTATTTTTACATTCAACACTGTAATTCATCTGAAATACACTTGATTATCAACAAATTTTTCTAATGTTCTTTATGTATGTGATTTTAAAGTCTATGTAAATCAAAAGATTAATAGTAAAACAAATAGATAAAAATTATTAAATGGGCATAGATAAAATCTTAGAATATTTTAAACAGGAAAAATTGCAGATTAATATTTCATAGTATTTGTGGTATTTCAAAAATACAAACATTTTTGGAGTTACAAGCATTTTTAGAGTTCATCTCTCTATCTTTTCACTTTATTTTTGGATGACGATCAAGACCTAGATGCATAAAAATTAATTTACCGAAACCCACTCAGCTAGGTAGCTAGAATCCAATTCTTTTGTTCCTTAATCTAAGATTTATATATCAATACCTAAGACTTCCTTCTTGCTAGATTATAAATTTTAAAATAAAAGCAACCTGAAACTATACTGATTGTTACCTTAGTAATGCATTATTCCTTTATAATTTTTCCCCATTTCATACATATATATTTCTAAATTTTAGTATATAGCAAAATTACTAAGGGCAATTGAAAATGGAAAATGCACTAGGGTGGCAGTCTTTAGTCTTTCAGAACTTTAATTTTGTACATCTACAGAGCACAGATAACAATGGCTCATTAACCATGAAATCTGGGCAATTTGTCAAAAAGATATCAATGTTGCAAAGCACCATTTGACTCAGCATTCTAATAATCCCCCCAACTCCCTACCTGAAAACTAAATATTAATCTGCCACTCTAGAAGTGACTTGAAGTATGGGTCTTTCTCTCCATTGGAGAGGAACATTAGGAGGAAAGGTCCTTAAATGTTTTGTTCTCATTTCAGAAGCTCAGCAAAACCGTTTGTCTGATGGTTTTCTGATCCATTACCACAAGACTGATAATCTCACCTCCCTTAAGGGAAAAGAAAGCCTACACCAGAATTTCAGGCCTGAAAAATGACACGATATATAACCATTACAGTCCCACTATCAGCCTTTAATCTGCTCCCTGCATCGTTCAATTTTTGGGAATCCTATTTTAAAATATTTTTCTTTTAGCAAAAATATCTGGCTCCCTACATCATGGTTTTTCTTAAAATAAGATTTCAGAAAGCAGATTTTTAGGGAAATGTTTGTAGGAACAGATTTCCAAAGCCTATGGTTAATTTTCAACTAGGATACTAACAAAATCTGCCTAAATAAAAGCTGTTCTGGCATGCAACACTGGCAAACCTCAATTTGTGATGTAGCATTAACAAGGTGAATATCTCTAGAGGTGAGAATGTTGATTTTTGAAAAAATGATCCCTCAAATGCTTACAGCCCCGTGCATGTACAAAGATGAAAAATCAGTGCAATTGGAGAAAAAAACAATGGTTTAAAACACTTTGGAAGAAAAGAAAGTATCCCAATAAATCACTTGTCATTGTGGATAATAGAATACTGCATCATCTTCTATGAGCTAGAATAAAGGTTAAAACACTGTGCTTGCTCTCTAAACTCTATGATCTTGCTGGCATATTCAGTAGTGGATTCTATCATTACGGCCCTTTTGGTAATGGAAACTCCTCTCTTTCCTGTAATTGTTTATAATTCCTGAAAACTCTCAGGGAATGTCATCTGCTTTAATAAGCAATAAATTCTCTACTGAAGGTGTTGAGAGATAGCAATAATAAAAAGAAGAAAATTTCTTTTCCCAGCAAGCACAAAATACTGACAGAATGCTTCAAAAATTATTTAAAGAATTTTGCATTGAGAAAAAGGAGTTTCAAAAAAGAAAGGTGTTGCTCTGAAAGATGATAGGTTTAAAATGCAAGGGTAGAGCATTGAAAACTTAATTTGAAAACCTTGAGATGTTCCATCTAGACCATGATCAGGAGCCATTTATCACTCAGTCCAAACATTAGTTCTTCTGAAGTTCATCTCCTGACTCTGATCATCTCTTTTCAGATTCTATTTCATCACTCTTCCTCTTTTTGAAAATTTTTGAAGTTGTTATTTCAATCAAGATTATACAAGCACATTAATTTAAGGAGTTGAAATATTCTGCCAGGTTTACTACAAAGTATCAATTACCAGTCATGCTTCCCACCATTCCTCCTACCCCAGAGGTAACTCCTTTCACCTCTTAGCCAATTATTTTGCTATTTATTTGATGTGCTGACATAAAAATGCTTACAACACTGCATTCGGTTGTTCTGTTTTAGGCATCATCTCTTAACTTCCCACTAAATGGGACAAAGCTATTTAGCCTCTTTTCTTTCCCTCCTTCATATGTACATTTATTATGTACAACTTGCCAGCCCCTCAATATGGTTATAAGTTGGTTAGATAAATATTCAGTGGTTACCCGATTGTAACCATATAAATAATGTTTAAGGAACCATGTTAGTAAACTATGTTTACATTATTTTTCCTATACAAGTTTTCACTTTCCTGGAAATAAATGATTGTCTCATTTATTCATTTTTTTGCTCTTCTTTGTGCCTTCTGTTAACTAAACCTCAAACTCTCGGCAATTGCCTAAATTGCCTCTTTAGATGTTCAGATGTTTCTGATATTCTATCAAATTAATATTTTTGGAGGCATCTCTCCTAGGGCTTGCTCTAGGTTGGGCTGTTTTCCCTCCACATCCGGGGTGTAATTGGGGGATTTATTGACTGTCCTGCTGGGAACTCTGTCACCTCTTCTTTGTTAGATCTCCTGTTTTTTCTTTGATTATATTTTAAGTTCTAGGGTACATGTGCACAATGTGCAGGTTTGTTACATATGTATACATGTGCCATGTTGGTGTGCTGCACCCATTAACTCGTCATTTACATTAGATCTCTTGTTTTTTTCTATTTCAGATCTTCCTTAATGTTAGTTTGCCCTCCCATTCTATAGAATACCATCCCCAAGTAGTTTTCACAGAAAGCAAATAGTTTGTGACTTCACATGTCTAAAAATGTGTTTTATTCTACCCTGACACTTAGAATCTCAATTAAGCCCTTTAAATTGTATTGAGGTATAACTTTTATATAGTAGGTTGCACAAGGCTTAAAAATAGTTCCTATGAATTTTTTTACATATGTATATACTTGTATACACCACCCAAATTAAGATATAGAATATTTCCATCAGCTAAAAAGGATGTTCAGTGCCCATGCCATTTAATATGTACCCTTTAGGGGTTATTACTATTCTGACTAGTGTAACATAGATTAATTTTACCTTCTTGAACCTCATATAAATGGAATCATACTGTTTGTGCCTTTTTGTATTTATATTTTTTCATTCAATATGTTTTTGGGATTCATCCATATCATTGTATTTACCAATGATTTTTATTTTTTTATTTCTGCTTAATATTTTACTAGATTACAAAAATTATCTTATATTTTCTCCTAGAAGAAGAACACCTCTATGAGCTACCAAAGTTAATTTTTGTATATGGTATAAAGTAGGTCAAGATTTATTGTTTTTCCGTATGGATGCTCAATTTCCAGCACCATTTATTGAGAAAAACAGCATGTGCCCTGCTGAACTGCAGTAGCATCTTTGGAGTAAATTAGATGACTATTTATCTGTAGGTCTCTTTCTATACTCTGTTCTGTTTGTTGATGTATTTTTCTATCTTTGGACCATTAACATGGTCTCATTTGTTGTAGATTTATAGTAATGTTGCTATCTGGAAATGTAAGTTCTCCAAGTTGATTCTTCTTCAAGATTGTCTTTGACTGTTACAAGTTTTTTGAAGTTTCATATAAATTTTAAAATCAGCTCATCAATGTTCACCAAAAACAAAACAAAACAAAACAAAAAACTTCCAGCCAGGGAATATAATTGGGATTGAATAAAATCTATATAACTTTTTGGGCAGGAATTGACATCTTAGCAATATTGATTCTTCTAATTCATAAACATGTTATCCCATTTATTTAGATGTTTTTCAATTTCTCTCAGCAATATTTATATTTCTCAAGATAGAGGTCTTCTACAACTTCTGTTGAATTTACTCCCATATTGTTTTGGAGTTTTATTTTCTCCTGTTGTTTTCATCCCATATTTTTTGACGTTTTTGGAAATAGGTTTTCTTCCTTTATTTTCTGGAGAGAGGGTTTCACTCTGTTGCAGGGGTGTAATCATAGCTCATGAAGTCTTGAACTCCTAGGCTTAAGTGATCCTCCTGCCTCAGCCTCTGAAGTAATTAGGACTTAACAAGCTTGCACCACCACACCTGGCTAATTACTTTTTTGGTAGAGATGGGGTCTTGCAGTGTTGCCCAGACTAATCTCAAACTCCTGGCATCAAGTGATCCTCCTGCCTCAACTTCTCAAAGCACTGGAATTTGAGCCATCACACTTGGCCTGGAAATGGTATTTTAAAAAGTTTTATTTTTCATTTCTCAATTATTTTGTTGGTAGTATATAAAATACAACATATTTTTGTATGTCAAATTTGTGTCCAGTGACCTTGCTCAATATGCTTATTAAATAGTTTATAGAAGTTTTTGGATCTTCTACATGCATAGAAATATCATCTCCAAATAATGACTATTTTACTCCTTCTATTTAAATATTTGTATCTTTTATATATCTTTTCCTCATTTTACTAGAAGTGGTGATAATGACCATTCTTATTTGTCTCACTTTGCTTGTCTTAGTGGGAAACTGTACAATATTTCACCATTAAGTTTAGTATTCTCTGTAAGCTTTTCTTTGATGCCCTTCAGCAGACTAAGAAAGTTCTTTTGTATTACTGGCTTGCTTTGAGTTTTTTTTTTAACCATAAATGGATATTAAATTTTCTCAATTGCTTTTTCTTAGTCTATTGGTATGTTGTTTTTTCCCTTTATTCTGTTGATGTGGTAATATACATTGTGGTAATATACACTGATTGTATTTCAAATGTTAAACTAACCTTGCCTTCTGGGAATAAACTTTACCTGGTGTTGATGTCTTATGCTTTTAATATATTGCTGGATTTGTTTTGCTAATATTTCATTTAGGATTTTTTAATCTAAGAGAGATGTTGACCTAGATTTTTATTTTTATTTATGTTTATTCAAGATGGAGTCTTGCTCTGTCACCAAGGCTGGAGAGCAGTGGCTCAATCTCGGCTCACTGCAACCTCTGCCTCCTGGGTTCAAGCAATTCTCCTGCCTCAGCCTCCTGAGTAGCTGGGACTACGGGCACCCACCACCACGCCCGGCTACTTTTTGTATTTTTAGTAGAGACAGGGTTTCACTGTGTTGTCCAGGCCAGTCTTGAACTCCTGACCTCAGGTGATCCACCCACCTTGGCCTCCCAAATTACTGGAATTACAGGCATGAGCCACCACGCCCAGCCAGATTTTTATATTTTATAGTGTCTTTGTCAGGTTTTGATATCAGGATTACACTAATTAGATGCTTGAATAGTAGATTAGTTGGTTATGGAATACTAAGTTGAAAATAATTTCCTTAAACTGTTTGAAGTATTGATTCACTGTCTTCTAATGTCCAGTGGTCTTGAGAAGAGTGAAGTCATTATGATTTATCCTGTAGCCTATAGGATCTTCATACCTCTCTAATATTCTAAAAGTTCACTATACAGTGCTTGTTGTGGCTCTGTTTTCATCCCTGTGCTGGGTAGTGGGATGTCCTTTTTATCTCCAAAGTAAGATCTTTCAGTTGTGGGAAATTTCCATGAATTATTTCATCAATGGTGTAGCAGGGTGAATAATGCCCCATCTCTGCCTGCCATAGATGCCCATGTCCCAAGCCTTGGAACCTGGGAATGCTGCCTTCTATGGCAAAAAGGACTTCGCAGATGTGATGGAGTTAAGTGTCTTGAGATAGGAAGTTTATCCTGGGTTATCTGGGTGGGCCTGATAATTCTTGTAAGCAGACAACAGAGGAGTCAGAATCAGTGAAGGTGATGTATGCCAGAAGCATAGGTTGAAGTAATGCACTTTGAGGATAAAGGCAAGGAACCATGAGCCAAGGAATATAAGCAGTTTCTATAAGCTGAGAAAGTCGAGGAAATGGATTCTCCCCTAGGGCCTCCAGGAAGAACCAGCCCTGCAAGCACCTTGACTTTAGCCTAGTGAAACTGATTTTGGATTTCTTGCCTCTTGACTGTAAAATAATAAATTTGTGTTGTTTTAAGCCACCAAGTTTGTGGGAATTGGTTATAGCAGCCATAGGAAACTAATACAAGTGGTTTTCTCCTGTCTCTTTCCTGTTTTCTCTTTGCGGAACACCTATTTTATTATAATTTCTAGACCAGACTTTGATTTTCTTATTTTTATCTATTTGTCTTTTTTTGCCCAGTTTTCTAGAATATTTCCTAAATTTCTCTTCAAACTTCTCTTTTTGGATTTTTAATTTCTGCTCTCAAATTTATAACTTTTTAGAAATGCATCCCTATTTGGTTCTTGAAATGTTCCCTTTAAAAAATGATATCCTGTTCTTACTCATGGTTGCAGTATTTTGTTTTATTTTCTAAGAATATTAACAGTAATTTTCCTGGGAATTTTATTCTGCCTGCAAAATCTGTCTCCTGCAAGTTTTAGCTGTCTGCCTCGGTTTTTGTATTTCATAATAAAAGTTCTCTTTTGTGGCCTGGTAATATTTGGTTTGACTGTTCAAACCGAAGGGTTGGCAACTAACAATTTAAATGGAAGCACTGAGCATGTGGGTGGAGCTTTACTCCAGCTCTGAAGTATACAGCATGGCCAGTTCTTACTGAGCCATTTGGGGGTTAGGTATTATAAATTGATTTGGATCTCGAACATTCTCCATACTGGATTAAGGTTTCATTGTGGTATTTCCCCCCAGGCTTGCTAAGTTATCATTTGTGCAAATGTTTACTCCCTCCCAAAATTTTATACTCTTTTCTTCTTTTCTTGTCTTGCTCCTGTTCTGCTTGTTCTTACGAGTTATCCTTTTAAATACAATTCCTGTATTTTTATTTTAATGTGGCTTATAGATGGACTGAACATAGACAAATGTGTTCAACCTTCCGTTTTTGACCAGCAGTACTATGGCTTTCGTTCTTCAGCCAAATCCCTACAACTGGGGGCTCTTGAGGTGCTGTCCTCATTTTTTCTTTCCCTTTTCATTCAACATAATCTTGCTTCTCGATTTTACCCATTCCTGTGACTTCAACTATCATTTGTAGATCAATGACTTTCAACTTTCTATTTTCACTTCCTACTACTTTCCTGAATTTTCAGAGCTTTACTTTCAGCTGGAGGCTCTCAATCAGCAGTTGAATCTCCTACTGTGCCCTCAAACTAAATGTGTCCAACAGATCTCATTATTTCTTTACAACCTTATTGTAACTTCCCTACACACAAGCTTGCTGATCTTTTTGTGTTTCTTCTTTTATTGACATCACTAACCATCTCAGATTTAAAATTGGGAATCATTTTAAACTCCCTCTTCTTTACCTCCAACATCCAGTTAGTTACCAGGCTCTGGCAAATTTACTTTCTATATGTCTTTCACTGTATCTCATTCATCCCTCACCCATTATTTGTACTCCTACCTTAGTTCAAGCTTTCAACACCTATTACTATATAGAGTATTGCAGTAACCTAACTTGATACCTTTCTCTGATCTCTCTAACACTCCAATCTATTGATATAAATTGATCATTCAACACACATTTACTGAGTATCTAATCTGTACCAGATGTGGTTTGCACTAGAGATATCACAGGAGAAAAGACATGGTTACCCTTTTTGTTAAGGGAGAAAATAGTTCACTGGAAAATTATCACATTCGTGAGAAATTATAAAACAGTCTGCTATGTGTTATAGGGGAAGTACAGAGTTCTAGATAGCCATATATGAGAGTAATTCAATCTACACTTGGGGACACATGGAAATACTTCCTAGGAGAAGGTCATGTATATAGAGACCAAAACAATTAGACAGTATGTTCAATACGGAGGATGCAGCCCCTGCCAAAGGCCCTGATGTGGTAGGCACAATTGATGGACTAAAAGAAGTTTAATATGGCTGCAGTGGAGGGTGGAAAAAAAGAAAATGGGAATAAAACTGGAGAGGTAATCAGCATTCAGACCATTCAGCATCTAAACTAATTTAAGGAGAATGCGAATTTCTTCTAAGAAAAGCAGGAGACTAACATGAAACTTTATAATTTACTTTGCATTTTAGAAAAATCTATACTTCTGTGGAGAATGGATTAAAATAGATCAAGTTGGAAGAGGGAGACCAATTGTAGTAATCCAGTTGGGAGATAGTCATGATACAGAATAGGATTGGGCAGTAGAAAAAGAGGAAAGTAGTGTTTTGCAGGATATTAGGAGATAGGCTTAGAAGATTAAAGGAGCAGGAGGAATTAAGAAACAGAAATAACAGGTTTGAAGGAATGGTTCAATGAGTTAAATTTTCATAATGTTGAGTTTGAAGTGCCTGTAAGACATCCAAGTGAAAATGATAAACAGAAATCTAATTATATATTCTCAGGCCTAAGCCTACTCCATGGTTCCCTCTTGTATCCGACATAAAACCAAACCCCTGTGCATGGTATACACAGTACTTCCTATTCTCACACCATCTGTCTGGTTTATCTCTTAATAACAACTCCCAGACCTCTTCAGCTACATATTCACGCCCTTCATGCCTTCTTGTCTTTAAAAATATTATTGCACTTGTCGGGCGTGGTGGCTCACGCCTGTAATCCCAGCACTTTGGGGGGCTGAGGTGGGTGGATCACGAGGTCAGGAGTTCAAGATCAGCCTGACTAACATGGTGAAACCCCATCTCTACTGAAAATACAAAAATTAGCTGGGTGTGGTGGTGTGCGCCTGTAATCCCAGCTATACAGGAAGCTGAGGCAGGAGAATCGCTTGAACCTGGGAGGCGGAAGTTGCAGTGAGCTGAGATTGCACCATCACACTCCAGCCTGGGTGACAGAGTGAGACTCCATCTCAAAAAAAAAAAAAAAGTATTGTTGCATTTGTCCCACACCACATCAATGCTTTTGTGAAACTTAGCTTTGTCATTTTCCACAGCACAAATTCCTCATGTCAAGCATTTATGAGGATGGTGGACTTCACTGAAGATTGTGGGGGTTTGTGGGAGAGATCCTATGACAGAGTGCACATGCTTCTGCCATCTTACCCATTCTCCTCTCCTCTTTCATTTGCTAGATCTACACTGTCCAGTACTCTAGCCACTAGTCACCTGTAGTCTATGGTGACTCTTGAGCACTTGAAGTGTAGCTAGTATGAGATCAGATGTGCAGCAAGTGTCAAATACACAATAGATTTTGAAGACAGTTGGGAAAAAGAACATGAAATATCTCATTAATAATTTTTCAAATATTGATTGATTATATGTTAAAATGACAATGTTTTAGATATATTGGTTTCAATAAAATATATTATTAAAATTAATTTCACCTGTTTTATTCTTTTTAAATGTGACTCACTTTTCGAAATTACATATGTGATTCACATTATATTTCTACTGGGCAGTGTTGTCCTAGATCTCTCTCCTGAATTGTCAAATTGTCCTACTTCTATGATGCAAAGAAATTTAACTCTTGAGCCTCTGTTTCAACTTTGCCTACACAATCCTATCAAGGACTTTCATTTTTAAGGCTCTCCTTAGGAAGCAGTTGTAATTATATATCTCAAAATTCAACATGAAAAACATTCATATTTTTACTTTGGTACTCACTTCTTTGTAGCGTGATTCTTTGTAAAATTGCTTTCTCTCACGAGGATATGAAGAAAGAGCACGTCATATTCATCTTTCTATACCCAATCCAGTGGCAAGAACATAGTAGGTCCTCAAAAATGTTTGTTAAATGATAGGAGTGGGTTCCTTATTAGCTGAAAATGAAATGTCTGAATTTGAAAATTACATTCATGGCAGTTGGCTTGGTGTAAATTAAGAATAGTGGTAAACACAGTGTTGTATACTTATATCCCTTCATTTTTCCTTGACCTTACAGATTGATCCCATAGTGATCACTTTAAGCTTGTTATTGAATCTTTGTCACAAAGTGTGTGCTAATATTATTCTCTTCTAGACATAAGAATAGAAGCAGAGAAGGAATTTAAATCAATAAAGCTAACAAATAAATAACAAGCTGGAGAAGTGGAACTTGTCACTTAAGAACGTGAGGTGAAGGGCATATTGACAGTTTCTGATAACTAAGTAGATAGAGTATTGATAGCCGAAGTCATTATGAAATGAACGCTTACTGAGATCATGTTTACATAAAGTTGTTATAGCAAGTCGTTATTATAAACACAACTACAGCATTGTCCTTGGACCTGTTAGGCCAGGGTTTTAGAGCATACTGCAATTACTGACTGCAAATATAATTCCCTTAATGCATATTTTAAAGTTTGAAATGCACTTGCTGACTTCACACAACAGTAGCTCCCTAATGACAGGAACTTTGCCTGTACTTGAGAAGAAGATTTCAAGAGAAACCAAGCATAAAGTAGAATGGGTGAAAAATGATAATTCAAATTGAGCCAGATTTCCCCAGTGGTTTAGGTACACCTGGTTTTACATTTAAAACTTTTGAAAGTTACATTAACTTTTTAAGACCACACATTTAATAATCTTAAGAGGTGCCTCAAGAAGACTCTAGGTTCTAAGAGAATATATATAAAAGAAGAGTGAGGCAAATATTAGCTTACATTTTTGACAATTAATATATTAATGGCATTCTGAAACCATCCGATGTTTCAGATTGGGTGTGCATTTCTTTCTCCCAGAATACAGGGTGCATTTTTTTTTTTTTTTTTTTTTTTGAGACAGAGTCTCGCTCTGTCGCTCAGGCTGGAGTGCAGTGGCACCATCTCGGCTCACTGCAAGCTCCGCCTCCTGGGTTCACGCCATTCTCCTGCCTCAGCCTCCCGAGTAGTTGGGACTACAGGCGCCCACCACCACACCTGGCTAATTTTTTGTGTTTTTAGTAGAGACCGAGTTTCAGCGTGTTAGCCAGGATGATCTTGATCTCCTGACCTCGTGATCCGCCCGCCTCGGCCTCCCAAAGTGCTGGGATTACAGGCCTGAGCCACCGCGCCCGGCCTACAGGGTGCATATTTAGTGCTCAGTAGCTGTGCTGCAGGTAGATGGATGATATGATGTGCCTGGGACTTGGTGTAGTTCATAGCACAGAAAACTGAAGGAGAAGCCGACTTGGTTTACAATAAACCCTGCAATGTCTACCTTCCTGAATCTTGGTCTCTAACAGCAAAGGAGCAATCTGATAGTATGGCAGTGTTCCTTCTCACCCCTCATCAGTGTTTAGGTAGTGTTTCGCACAATTTAAGTGTGCTGAATAAATGAATGAATGAAAAATTAAAAACCCTGATAGCTTACAATGTGTCTGTTTTCATAAATGCCCTAGCAGCAAGTGCTTTGGGTTTTATCAAAACCAGTAAGTTTACCAGAAATAGAAGTAAAAATGTATAACATAATCTCCTTTTTGCTGGTCCCAGAACATTAAAAAGCCAACCAAAGAATGATCTTTCTAGCAGTTTAGAAAAGTTTTAGTATAGACGGAGACCCATGGAGAATTTATTGCAATATTACATTTTAGTGTCACAGTAAATTAAATTTGAGAAAGCAAAGTTTACCATAATAAAATTTTGTCAAATGAAAATCGGCAATCCTTCTCATCACTTAGAAATGTCTTTATTGAAGAGGTAAATTGTACCACAGCACAATGGCTTTTTTTGTTAACTTAGAGGATCAGTAAAAATCATTATCTTTATTTGTCATTCATTCCTGGAGATTACAAATCTAAACAGATTCAAACTAAAACCAGTTTATGTAGAGGAAATCTTTATTGATAGCATGGGGAAAATGTTCTTGTCATACCTATCCACCTAATCTACTGATTCTCCACCTTTTGTTTTCTTCTTTTTAGCTAAAAAAAAAACACAAAAAAAAAAACCTAAGCAACTAACTTATTGCCTAGCAACTGATAATCTTTCATATTTCTTTGCTAATTTGGCCAGCATATTTCCATGCTGCCTTTTGACTAGGTAATCTATATAGTAATAGTAATGTGATAATGAATATCCAAGTTTCAAATTGCAGTATGGTTTTAAAAAATCCTAGATTGCATGTATTTGACTGACAAAGAGTGAAAGAGAATGCATGAGAAAGACAGAAAGAAAAAAGTAAGAAAAATAGTTAATGGGCAGTGTAAATGATAAACTGACTTTGTATAACAATGGCCACCAGAAAAATATCTCAAAAATATGGAAATTGGCTAGTGCAGCAAACCTGACTATCATTTATCATACAATGAGAAAGCAGAGTAGGAGGGAATAGCAATTTTCATTCTAATGCTTTTCTAACTCAAAAGCCATTTCCATTAAGAAAAGTTTTTAGTTATTCGTAATATTCATTCTCCCTGAAATTAACAAACTTTTTAATCCTTAAGCTTTTTAATTTTCTCTGTTCTAGCTGATCACTTTCGTGGTTGTGATCCAGCAAAAGCCTGGAGTAAACGTTTCTTGCAGAGTATTTATCTACAGGCATACCACAGTGGGAAACAGAGCAAGCTGGTAGACGAAGCAGAACCATAGGAGCTAAAAGCCTTACTGGTTTTCCAGAGCAATTCACATAATCTTCTCCACTCCTTGAAACAATACTTACCTATAATACTGTACTCAATTAAGCTGAATGGCTATAGTTTAGGATTATTTCTCCTTCATAGACCTAACTGAATCTTTTATATTTAAATAATGTGATTAAGTCATACTGTACAGTCCTCATGTTTTCAGCATTGCTGCGGTGCAATATTGCACAGTGATTAATATTCATAAAAGTCCCCAGATTTAGGATTAGAAATGGGAAATCAGATCAAGAAACTATAACTTCTCAAGGTGGGTGATAAGGATAAGCAGAATTACAATTTCAGTCTCCGTGGGTAAGAAGTGGCGATCAGAAGACCAAATCTCCATGAAGTTCAAAGCAGCTGCACAGGAAGCAATCAACAGAAAAATAATTAAGATAGTGGTCTGAAAAGGATCACATTTTAGAAACACAGATAGGAATTTAAACTGCTAAATCCATGCTGATGGACTTTTATGGACAGGATGAGAATTTAGTGTGAGGTAACAAATTTTGGCTAAGCATTAAGGTAAATGATCATAAAAGCTAACTTGTATATAACTGAAACATCTAGTAAAAGATCTACAATTTAATTTTTATGTCAACTGAGATTATTTTCATATAAGGCAGTTGCAGGGTTTTTTAATTTTTATTTTTTGGCTTCTGGCATTTTTTAAGTTCTTTTCTCTGGCTTTGAATAGAAAAGAGAAAAGACTTGATAAATCTTCAAAGGAAAAACACAGAGCAGGGATGACTTCAGCAAGGAACTTCATTTTTATTTATTTATTTATTTGTATAAATTTAAAGAGTATGAATGCAGTTTTGTTACATGAATATATTGGGTAGTGGTGAAGTGTAGGCTTTTAGTGTAACCATTCCCTGAATAGTGTACACTGTATCCACTAAGTATAATAATTTTTCATCCCTTACCGTCTTCCACACTTCCTAGTCTCCACTGTCTATTATTCCATACTCTGTCTGTGTGTACTTTCTTTAGCTACCACTTATGAGAACATGCGATATTTGACTTTCTATTTCCCAATTGTTTCACTTAAGATAATGGCCTCCAGTTCCAGCCACATTACTGCAAAACACAGGATTTCATTCTTTTTTATGGCTGAAGAATATTCTATCATATATACGCCATGTTCTCTTTATCCAATCAACCATTGATGGACTGTCTGGTTGATTCCATATCTTTACTAGTGTGAATAGTGCTGCAGTAAACATACGAATGCAGGTATCTTTCTGATGTAATCATTTCTTTTCCTTTTGGTAGATACCTAGTAGTGGTACTGCTGAGTCGAATGGTAGTAGTTCTGTTGAGAACTTTAATCTCCAACCTCAGGAAGCCTGATTTGCCCACTTTCAAGAATATAACAGATTCAAAGATAAGTCTCTAAAGAGGAAGGCAATCTTTGCATCAGTTGTTTTCTCTTAATCAGACTCAGTGGAATTAAGGAAGGTATCAGGAGATAAGAAATCCACATGATTGTCCAATATCAGTGTGCTAAGATCAGTAACATGGGAGACAAAGGAGGCATAATCTGCCATGTAATCCTGGAGAGAGGAAGAGAGAGCTTGGCCAGAGTTAGAAATACATTCTGGAGGTCATTTACCTGGACTGAAATAAATTTGTCAGACATTATGGCCTTATCTATATCTATTAATAATAGGCAATACTGCTACATAAAATAGCAACCTCCTTTCCCCCTGCCCCAACCTTGTACTCACTATCTCTTCATTCTGTTTTATTATTTCCTTACTTGACTAATCTCTGTTGAGTGCCCTCTACACTTACTTATTTATTTGACTGACTTTTTCACACACTAGGATGTAAGTGGAACAAAAGCCAGGGCTTTGTTTTATATGTATCTCCTGCACATGGTAGACAAATATTTGTTGAGTAAATGAATCAATTATGTTTGGCTTATTGAGAATGTTTAGAATGTGGCTCAAATGTATATTTTGGATAATCAGTGTATTTTCTTAATAGTTATTCTGCACAAGCTGCTATCAGAATCATAGCTGGAGTTTAAGTGATGCCTGAAGATAATATTCAAGTATGAAAATCTGAGTTTATTTTGGCAGGGAATGTCCAAATGAAATTACAAAAAGTCAGGAGCATGGGATGTTACACAGCTTTAAACAATTATAGGCACAGAAAATAACAAATGCTATTTCTAAACAAATAGCTCCAATTATAAATTATATTGTGTGGTGTTTTACTTTTGGGCAGAGCCCATGGATTATGGAGACTAAAGACATACACCTGAGAAATGAAGTTAATTTATCTGCTCTGACCCTATTTCTAGCAAAAGGAATCACAGTGATGGTTTGGTTACTTCATTCAAGTTGTTTTGGTATGTGAAATGAGTGCTTAAGAAGTCTATTATAAAAGAAAGAAGTATAGCCATTTTTAGTTCTCTTTATCATAATAAATCAGGGCTAAGGTTATAATAAGAATGTAAGATGAAACACAAATAGCAATTTCTTTTTTAACAGAAGTTATTCTCTAGGAAGTTAATTGTAAGTGAGTTCTGTCAAATTTAATAAAATCAGTTCTTCTTGATCAAACCATTCTGAGGTATAATTCAGAAGACGATTACAGTATATAATTAAACTTGCCAATTAAAATGTGTGATCACTGTAAAGTAATATAGTTTTTCCATGGGATGAAAAAGTAGAATATATAGCAATGTCTCTGGAAATTCTCTGAGTAACAAATTGTAGATAGGTAGGAGGCAAGCTATAGCCCCAGGTCAGATCATTTATTCTATTTTATAGACAGGTGAGTGAATCACTGAAGTATTAAACTGCAAATCGTTACTGAAGTCATAAATAAAACTCAACTGCTTTGATTTTCCAAGAAATGTCATAAATATTTCAAAACATTAGTTTAATCTCTTTACTCCATCTGACCCTCACTCTAGCCATATGGGGGTTGTTGGGATGGGTTAGTTACTAAGAGACACAGAAGCAGAAGGGAACCAGAAAGGGAATAAAACGTTTCTGAGGAGAAGATTCCTAGGCTATGTTAGACAAACTGTATCGGCGGATAGGAGGAGAAAATGTAGAGATAAAAGTGAGAGGCAAAGCAAGAGGTCAGGTATTGGAAAATTTGTTAATTAGGGAGGAAGTGGTGCAAAGGAGGAGGGAAGTGATTGAGTCCAGGAGGTTATTTATAAATGGGGCAGGAACTCTTACAGCTTACTTGTAGCAGGTGCTGATTTTATGGTGCATGAGTGGGTGATAAATTAAATGTGGCTACAAATTCTAGATATTGGAATCTGAGCCAGATGCTCTGAATGAATGACACTTATTGGGGGCTTGAGAGGAGGTGAGCACATTTTGCACGTGCAAGGACTATACAAGAGGGTGGCTAGGGGGTAGACTGTGAAACGAATTCTTTGCAGTCCCTTCATTCCACAGGTGGAGTACATTTCTCCAAACCCTGAATCTGGACTGGCCTTGTGTCTTTCCTTGACTAACATATGCCGTAGAAGTAATGCTGTGTGAATGTTGAAGTCTGGAAATAAGAGGACATGCACCTTCTACCTTCACACCCTTTGAATGCTGCCCTGCATTTGCCATGTAAGGAAGCCTGTCTAACTCACTAGAAAATGAGAGCACAAGTGAAGGAGAACCAAGGCATTCCAGCTCACAGCCAGTACCAACCATCAGACATCCAAGTGAGGCCTCACTTTCATCCCAGTTGATCCTGCAGCTAAATGCAGCTGAATGGATAATCCCAGGCAAATCCAGCAGCAAATCTGCCCAGCCAGCCCACAGAATCCCAAGAAATAAAAAAAGCATTGCTATTTTAAACCATAGAGCAATAGTTAACTGAAACAAACGAGTCATATTGAATTTGTTAATTCTTTTATTATTTGCCCATCCATCCACCCCACATTTCTTGAACGTCTTCAATATGCGAGATGCTGATGGCACGAAGAGGATCCAGATAGACATATTACCTCTTTTCATTTCTGCTTTTGTTGCACTTTTGAAGGTAGTTAGAGCTCTGCAGATAGTAAGTGAGAAAGAATGCATCTGAAAATTTCTGTAAAGAGCTGAGACTAGGACTTGATGGTCAGAAGACGGAAAAATTGCTGTTTCCAAGTTGCTGTTTTCTATATTCCCTAGGGACTTAAGTTTCTCTTTGGAGAAGGCTGGTTATTTGTTCAGAAGATAAAACTAAAAGAAAAAAATCACACATACATAAGCCAAAACCACGATAATAGCTCATTTAGTTCTAGGAAGTAAATAATCTGTCAATCATTTTGGAAAAATACTATGAAATAACTTGAATGTAGATATTCTAAATTAAAAAGATAAGTATTCTATTTAAGTCTATATAGACTTAAATATAGAGTTATATACATTGGGTTTATATTTGATGTGTTAAGTTTCTGAAGATCCTTTTGGTTTTGGTGGAAGCAGAATGAGGATAGAGAGAATTGTTTCTTTATATATAGATTCAAAGCACTCCACAAACAGCTATCGTTGTTTGGTCCTGGTACGACATGTACATGCTCTTCTTCAAGCAACTGCTTGTAGGAGATTAAGCAGAAAGTCTGAAAACTGCAGGAAGATCACACAGACGTTGTCTCCCCTGGGCCTGGAGAGATCCCTTTTAAAAGGGAATGGATTGGGCTGGCTCCACGTGACCAAGTGGGAATAGATCACTAGGGTTTTATTAAAGATATTGGACATAGCACCAAACATCTAGAGTTGGAGGAAGCAACTGTACCTTTAAAGAATTTCCCAGTTGATAACGATGGACCAAGTCCTCCTGGATAGAGTTACTGGTATATCACGGTAGAGAAAGTAGACATTTACACTCCAAAAAAGGACTTGCTCTAAGCAAGAAAATGGGAATTTACAAAGTGAGCATGAGGCTGGAATAAAGAGGGATTCCCTTCCTCTTGATTAGACTTAAACTCTGGGTAGACAGACACACTTCCAGACACTCTGGTTGTGGGACTGGGCTGGTGCCTGCCATAGAAGGAGGTGGTCAGCATAGAGGTACTCTATACCTCCATGGTACCAGGTATAGAGGTACACAGGAGGAGGAGTCATATTTACCTTTCTGCTGTCCCCTAGCTTTTAGACAATCTTTTAAAAGGCAGTGACCTTGTTTTAGTTGAACCATGGAGAATGAAGAGAGAGGTCTATGCTCATGATCTTTGTCATTCCCTACCTTGAAAAACCTGGGTTAGTCATTTATCTTCCATAAAATCCAGTTTTTTCATTTTTCAAAACGGGAATAATACATGACCCAGGATTATTATATGGACCGAATGGAATAATTTATTCCAATGATCCTCTGAAACTCCAAAGAACCATGAAAATACAAAGAATTATAATAATCCTCATATTAGGTTTTAATCGTTGTAAATCTTTCTGATTCTGACCCAGCCTCTTTGAAATCTTCATCAGTTGAATTTTACACTTATGCTGAACATAAGCCCCATGAGCCAATACTCAGAATCCAGTGTTCTATAACAAAACTAGTCTTAATACAATATAGATTTTAAATAGCTCATAAAAATGAGGGTGAGAAAAGTAAAATTGTGGCAGAATTCTGTGCTTCTCTACAATTAAAGTTTTTTTTGTGGGGGGGATAATGAGATTTCTTAAATAAAGTAATGGAGCCAGTGCAGTCAAAGAAATACTTCTTGACTCTGGCTTTGTCATTAACAGCAGAGAAATCCAAAGAGATCCCTTTTCCTTACTGAAAGAATGGCCAAAACTTCAGATTAATTGAGTGGAGAGATGAATTAATTGTTTTCAGTATACATATGCTGGCACTCTTAGAAGGCCATAAAAGTCTGAATTCTGTCATATTTTGAACAGTAAGTAATGATTTATGATAAGTCATTTGAGAACATAATTTATTGGGGAATCACTCAAATAAAAATGTCTTTCTCTCCATTGTGGAACCATCTTCAAAAATATTTGTGTTTGCATAGTTGGAGGAAAATTAAAAATACTCTTCAGAAAATAACATAAACGCACCTTTATGCATAATTAAAGTTGGTATAGTATATTCAATATTTGCGTCCCTGTGTCCGAGAACTATATTAATTGGATTTTTTAATATTTATGGAAAATAGTAAATATATTTTAACAGTTATTATTTTAAAAATAATAATATACCGTAACACTTAAATAAGAGTTTAAAGAAAAAACTTCAAGAATACAAAGGTAGATAAACTATCACGTAAAGTAGAATCAAGAAATGCTCTCGGGAACCTAGGATAAGTTGGTTACTACAATTGGGTATTACATTTGGCTCTGAGGTCCCCCAGGACCAAAAAAAGAAAAAAAATAATTAAAAAGCAAAAACAAAAAACAGGATAAAAGAATGCAGGAGTTAATATAAACAGAGAGTAAAGAGCCCAGAAAATCTAGAGGAATGGCTAGAAAATGCTTTTCTCAGAAAGCCTCTCAAGTCAACTTTTGGCAATGATTGTCTTAAATTTATTTGTGACTTCTCTGAGGAGAGCATGAAGAGTCGAACTTCTGGGTTTCTGACTAATGCAACACCTACCCAAAATATAGAAAGCAAATTTACAATCAGGTGTGAGAATTTAGATTTACATTCTTCTCTCGAGGTAGGTCTTCTCATTTTCTCATAGAATGGGGTTCATAGAGTAACTGAGGTTGGCCATGTATTAAGAGAAAAAGTTCTGAATCTCATCAAACACCTATAATATATTTGGTTTTATGTCGTGAAGCATAGAATAAATAATAAGAATATTTTTTATTACTGGACTCATGTTACCCACTGGTTTCCTAACTATAAAACTACTTCAATAAAATTTTTAAGTAGCTGCAGCTGAACGATTTCATTGACGTAGAATATATCCAAAATAGCGAAATGATTTTACCTGTTGGTTGGGATTATTTTGAATTTCCCTTTTAAGTGATTACACAATTTTAGTTTTAAGTTTAAGCTCCAGTAAATATTTGTTGAATAAAGAAATACATTAATGTAGGAGTAAAGTGGCAGGATTAGCTGCTTCTTTTATAATATGCTTTATACTACAGAGGTATATAAAGGAAAAATTATTAGTTTCCTATTCTATCTCTAATCATATCTCCCTGAAATAACCAATATTAATATTTGGTAGGTATTTTTTCACATTTTTCTAATATATGTATTTACATGAATGATACATGAATTATATGTGCATACATATATGAATCTATACATATTTATAGAGATTTTTTCTTTATATCATATCATATTATACATATTTCCCTACAACATGTACCTTTTTTACTTGAACTATATTATCTTAGATTTTCAGGTCAGTACAAAGCTCCAACTCCTCAGTGATAACTGCAGAATTGTCCGTCCTGTGGATGTACCTTAATATATTTAACCATTACTTTATTGGTGGCCACTCGGACTATCTCCAGTTCCTTTGGTATTACAAACAACGCTGCAGTGAACACTCTTCTACATATATCATTTTAGGCTTGTGATTTTGTTTTCATAGGTTAAATTTCTAGAGGTAGAGTTGCTGAGTCTAAGGTTATGTCCTTTTAACATTTTTACAGAAACTACCAGATACTTTCCAAAATAAAGGAATTCAAGCTCCCATCATGATTGCATGAGGCTGCCTGGGTGCCATATCCTTATGAGCACTGATGCAACCTGTCTTACACGTTTGTAACAATAATGAGTTAAAAATGTTATCTTGTTGCTGCGCTTTGCATTTTTCTTACTATTGTGAGGTTGAGCATTTGTGTCTTAGTGAATTCCATTTCTTTTCTAAATTGCCTTTATATTTTCTTTGATCACTTTTCTATGACAGAATTTGTCATTTTGCTGATTAATCAGTAGAAGCACTTTGTGTATTAAGAATATAACCATTTGTCAGTCATGAGTTTTGTACATACTTTCTTCCATAATATAGTTTGTTTCTTGACTTTTTTTTGTGTTTTGTGCCAAAGAGAATTCTTTTTATTATTAGAAAAACAATTATAGTTATATTTTTAATGGTTTCTTTGTTTCCTTCATTGCTTAAATTGTGCCCCACCTTGAGGTTTTATAGATAATCAATCTCCTATTTAAAACAATATATATATACACACACACACACACACATATATATAGATAGATAGATAGATAGATAGATATGTTTTTGGATTTTTTAGTCTATTTCATTTAGACGTTGGGTCAGAGGTCCCCAACCCCTGGGTCATGGACTGGTACTGGTCAGTGGCCTGTTAGGAACCAGGCCCCACAGGAGGAGTTGAGCTGCAGGCCAGCTAGCATTACTGCCTGAGCTCTGCCTCCTGTCAGACCAGTGGTGGCATTATATTCTCATAGGAGTGCAGATCTTATTGTGAACTGCCCATGCAAGGGATCTAGGTTGCACTCCCTATGAGAATCTAACTAATGCCTGATGATCTGAGGTGGAACAGCTTCATCCTGAAACCACCCCCATCACCCATGAAAAAAAATGTCTCCCACAAAACCAGTCCCCAGTGCCAAAAAGACTGGGGACTGCTGCATCGGGTATTCCTATGCCAAAATTATATTGAAACTCATTGGTAATTACATTAAGTTTTTGAGCTTATCAGGGATAATGGCCATTTTTATAGTATAGTTTTGCCCCTCCGTTCCTTTCCTCAGTCTTAGGAGTATAACTTGTTCCTAAAAAGTCCCTCGGGGATGAGTTTTTCTAAACCTAAAATGCAATTTCCACAGAAATTTTTGGTGCTACAACATTTAACAAACAGAGCATTCTCAATTTTATGTAATAGAATTGCTAAGGCAAAATAGCAACAACAAAGACAAAGAAATAAAACAATGCAAAAGATGTACAAGATTACTACTGTCAAACTAGCAAACCCTGAGCACTTGGAGAGAAGAATGGAAGGATCACAGGCCAATCATATCACTGTGAAATTGGCAGCATGATGGTGCTTATCTCCAGGCACTTGGCTGCTACTGAGGACAGAGTCCAAGTGAGTCTGGATAGTTTTGTAGCGATACCTCATCAGCTTAAACAGGTTGTTAGCCTATTCTTGCAGCATAAAGACCTCTATAAACCTTTTCAGCTTTTGTTGTGTATCCCCATCCAGCACCCAGTATAATGCTTCTACACTGTAGGTAAAAACAAGTTTAAGAACGTTGTAAATTGAGTCATCAGGAGAGCAAGTGAAAAGAATTAACTTCTGTGAAATTGGCGGAAGTGTTTTGCTTTCACAGTTTCCCTTGCACCAGCTATCCTGTAGAAGCCATATTGTAGGAGACAACGTTGCAGCACGCACACTGACCTTTGTCACTGCCAGCTCTCCTCCAAACTTCACATTGAGATCTGTTGTAATCCATATTGTGAAAGGATGCTGTACTTTATATAACAGGTTTAATTTAGTATATATTCATGATGGCATCTGAGTTCCATTTGGTATATTATCTTCACCAGGATTTTCTGGTTTCTAAGGAGACTTTTTGCATAGAAACAACTCCAGGACTTGGGTAATCCAGTATGAAGTGCCCACCTAAGGTATGAGCACATTTGGGAAGTTATAGGTTTCAGAGTAGGTGTTGATTATAATTTTAATTGCCTTTAGATATAACATCCAAGTAGGCAGGGTTCTGATTGGAGGTCAGAATGAAATATATAGAGAAAGATCCTCTTGATGGAAAACTAAGAGTGGGAAAAGATACAAATAGAAAGACTATTTTAATTCAATGTGATAAGTCATTGAAAAGTAGGCACATAAAAAGGTTATCCAACTAATTATTTTGTGAATCAAGACAGGATCAGGAGAATCAGCTATAGGTTGTGATCAGAGATGAGTGAGGTTCACATATGCCAAAAGGAACAGTTGGGAAATACGTTTCTAGACAGTTTAAAGAGAAAACATTTTCTAAAAGACTGTGGCTACTTAGACTGCAAAGCTTACTTTCTGTTTATGGAGGCATTGTTATCATAGGAGATGACAAGTTCATGCATGTTATTGCCCCTGAAAACCTCCCAATGGGACAAGATGCGGAGGCTCAAGACAGTGATAGTGATGATCCTGTCCCTGCGCAGGCCTGGGTTCATGTGTGTGCTTGTGTACTAGTTTTTAACAAAAATTTAAAAAGTAAAAAAATAAAAAGAAAAAACTTTAGAATAAATATATAAACAAAATATTTTATAGCACAAAAAAAAGATTATGTAGACTGCTTGCTCCTGCCTCTTTTTCTGCTTTGTCTGTGCAAACTTCCCTTATTAGACCCCAGCTGACCCCTCCTACCTGCTTAGCAGAAAAGATGCACCTGCTCCAGTGGCTGTGGGAAAGGAGGGTGGTGAGGAGAGTAGGTCTAGTAGAAATTGGTTGCAATCTGTCAGCCTCACTGTTGATCTGGCTAGTGATGCTATCCATGGGGCCACCTGCTAGAGTCCCATTGTTGCCTGAATCACAGGTAACCCCATGAACACATGGTGTCCCATTCTAATAAAGCACTTTGCTTTCCCAACTAGCCTGAGCTTCCTCACACTTGGGCTGGTTCCCTTAGGTCTGTTCTGTGGAGGAGCAGATTGATGTCGGGTTCCTACAGCTTCAACCAGCCCATCTTGAGAAATAATATTTTTACTCCGTCTTGAAGTTTGCAATCCCTACAGTTTAAATGTATAGTAGTTTACTTCAGTATATGATTATATTTGAAGCAACATTTGCACTTGAGAGCCTAAAAAGTCTAGAGAGAAGTCACATCCAACCCAGTAAAAATAAAAATTAACATTTGTGTAGAACTTTTACATTTATAAGCATTTTCTACTTAGATTATCTTATTTGATACTCCTAACAAGTCATGAAATTTTTGATTTTTTAAAAAGTAGACTGATATTACAGCATACAGAAGGAAGAAATAGCCAGAAAGGAGTTTTATTAATGAAAAATTATTTTCCAGGTTGAATTTCACTTTCATGTTGATTTTTGAGGAGGGTGTAGAGGGGAATTTTGGTATCTTGTGGAATTATTTATGTTGTGAATCTGTTCATGCTTTCATTGGGCATACAGCTTTGGGGCATGCCAATGTATATTTTATAGAAACAAATTTTACTTTAGTTATGCACATGTGTTAATAAACAGGTTCTGTTGTGCAACCTATATACTAAAAGGCATACTTTTCTCATGCCTCAGCATTAGGATATCAATTTTCTTTCTGTAATAAATGGAACAGCTGCAATGTTATGATTGTGAGGCTCTTCCCTTTCTTGTGCCTTGTACTTAATGGGATGGGGAGGCTAATTATCAGACTGAAAAAGTACTGGTCCCTTCCTTCACTCATTCAACATGGTTCCACTTACAGAAGCCAGTGCAGCTGGCAGAGCTGTGGAAGGACCTGGTCCCTGGGCAGATGTCAGCCAAAAGTCTAATTACATGCTAGACTAATCTAGAGTAAAGTGAATTGCCTTATCAATACCTTTGGTCTACTCTAACGACAATGCACAGAAAAAGTAGGACCTTAAGAATGGCTCATTTTTTCCACTCTGGGTGCTGTAGACCCCTTACTTCATAAAGTTAATTTGACTTCAGTGTTTAGGGCAAACCATGTTTGTATGTTTTTCAAATTTATAAACCACTAACAATTATTGTTTGAAAAAGTTCTGAAGTCTTCTGGAAGAGTCCATCTTGTCTCTTTTTCAGGTCTTCTCTAAATTGATATATTATGATTATATACCGTATGTGATGTAATGATGTCCTACCTACTTCTATCTGGTTTGTCTTCTGAGTCAAGGCCTCTATTCTACAAAGGGATCTTTAATTGACTGGCTCATTTTCTCTGTTGATTTTGTTTGTTTGGTGTGTGTACTGTTTCTTTTTTCGATCCCTTACTATTTTCACTTAAATTGTGCCAATTATTAGATGTTTTACAGTATTTTTTAAAAGGCAGAATTAGGAAAATTACTGGCATTAATTCGTACCACTCTCATTTGAAGGCTTGACGACTAAAGAATATTTATTTTCATCTCGACAGTGGCTTAATTTCCATAGTGAAACCTACTTGTAAACGATCTTTTTTCTCCCACTAAGGTGTAGCACTGAGCTTTAATTTGATGGCAAGTGTCCTAAGGATTAGAAAGTATTACTTTAGAAGATATTCCATCCTGAATATATAACCTTTTGTGATATTTACTGTATTTGCTGAATATGTTTGCTATATGCAGTTCAGTTCAATAAACATTTAATGTTTGTCTATTGTGCTGTGCATTTTGCTAGGAGCTAGGGTTATAAATAAGTAAGATACTATTTCCCTGGTGTAAAGTCATTGCAGTCCAATAGGGGGAAAAGATGATATAAATTCTGATTTTGAGTGTGGACTATACCGGGGCCTGTTGTGGGGTGGGGGGAGTGGGGAGGGATAGCATTAGGAGATATACCTAATGTAAATGACAAGTTAATGGGTGCAGCACACCAACATGGCACGTGTATACATATGTAACAAACCTGCATATTGTGTACATGTACCCTAGAAATTAAAGTATAATACACAAATAAATAAAAAATAAATAAAAAGAAAGAAATGATGAAAATAAAAATAAAAGCTCAAAATACTTATTTGAAAATATATTTAAAAAGCTATTCTTTTCTATTGAGTATTAGAATATACCTTTTACTAGAGTATGTAAGGATTGGTTTGTGGCCTTTTATTAAATGTTGAAATTCCTAGTCACCTATCCATTAATTTATCTGAAGTGTATAGATACATATTATTCATATATTGAATGTTATATGTAGAGTGCAGAGTTGTGCATATATTTTCTGATCAAACATAAATAATCAAGGCCAAAGTTGTCATTCTTTCTTCACTGTTATTTAGTCATGTGTTTAGCGTTCACTATACTCTGACATTGTGAACAGTCTACACATTATTATGCATAGCACTGAACCTCAGCGCACCTGCTGCATGTTCATGGCTGAGAAATACCTTGAGTTTTTCCTGAGGGCTATAAGAACAGTTTTCCTTTTCTTTACACAAGAGTCAAACGGGACCTCTTCCAGCAGTAACCACTATACAGACATATTGAGTAAATTTTAAAAAGTCTCAGAGCTCCCGCCAATTTAGGATGTTTTCTAGAGAGAACTAATTCCTGCCTGTCTTTATGTTTTTAATTATCCTCTTTTATGGTCTCTAGCAGGCGAAATTTCATTGTGTACTGTCTCCTTTAGACAACTTGTTCACTAAAAAAGGATTTGAATTTATAGTAATTCAATATACTCTCTACAGACCAATTCACCATTAATTCTTTGGATTGTTATAGCAATAATGATGTTCATGACAAACTATTTTTCTACTCTCTTTAACAATGTGGAAAGTAGAAGTGCAATTTTCATAGGCTTTCTTCTGAATTTGCCATTTTGCTAATGAAATTCTCATTTTAGTGTGAGTTGTATTTCTCAATAAATAACCAATAGACACTCTATATGTGCTCTAATAACCCTTGGTAGTTGCAAATATTTTGATTTTACAGAATATCTTCTCTAATACTGGGTTTTCTAATACAGAAAGTCACCTACAAGACTTTCCAGGGCTATAATAACCCTCCAGGTTTGGCTATTCTTGTCATCACAGTTTCCTGGAGATGGCAGCAAAGTACGCAGAAGCAAGGGCACCAACCGTAACACATAAACAAGTGGTGAGATTAATGGCGCTGTGCAGTTCTGAGGATGACTGACGAAATGCATCAGCCTCTTCTGCTCTCAAATGACAGGGCAGGTACATAGAGAGCTGATATATGTATTAATTTTATTTTTAATTATGTTGGGTAGGTTTCAACAAACCTTGAACAAACTGCTTTTATTTTATTCCTCACCTGTGGTCAAGTCCAAGGCTTTCCTGTCTTTCTGTTTATCCATCGCTCTCTTTTCTTTTCTGGTAAAAGTATTGAGAGATCTCCAGAACAAAAATCTTTTGAAACCTTTATTTTATGGACCAATCTACAACATTTGTTATCCTTACTTCATTTTCATACAGCTATTTCTAATCTTGTAGCACACTGCATTTCAATCCCTCTGGGTTGTCAGATTTTCTGAATCTATAATGGGATGATTAACTGGCAAGGCAATGCACAGGCTAATAACAGATTGCAAAGGACATCATATTAGACATTGTAAAAGCCCTCTTTATTCCAAAGTATACATCCAATAATACCCCAGCAGACATGAGTAATGAGCATGGTATCCAGAATAACAGGAACCCTATCGCTTTGGAATTCATGCAGAAATGTTATTAAAATGAAAAAGAGAGAACTTCTTTCTACTGAATTGCAACTGTTGGTTTCAATGCTAAACTTGTTTGTCAAAATGCTGTTGCCTGGAATCAGTGGAAGCTTATATATGACTGAAATATTTCACAAGTTGGTTGGGTACTATAAGAAATCTTGTTTGGGAAGAAACTAAATGAAAGGCTTTTTAAATTTAAAGATCCAGTGTTTTTCAGCTAAAATGTACGACTATCTTTTAAGGCTATTATTGAAGTAAACTTTACTTTTAAGATGAGAGAAAAAGAACATTCTTGATCATGAGTAAAGATTCCTAACACTAGGTCTTGAACATAAAGTTAAAGAAAAAGAAGGATATTTGCTTTTTCAGACAACAGATAAATACGCTGCATTGATCAAATTGTTGGTTTTTGGTCAGATTGTTTGGTTAGTAAAATATATTTTGTTGCAAATGAGAACTTGCTTTTTAACTGGAAATATACCAAAAGCATTATTCTGTATTTATATGCTATGTAAAGTTCTGAAGCACTCATTTGCATTCAAACATGTGATGGCTAAATACAAATCATTTTCATCTAGCTACTTGAGGGAGAGAGCTTGGGATAAGATAAAGCAGCCCAAAAAGGAAGGCCTGGAGGTTTGGCTTCAAATCTGCGTGCCGTGTTTTCTGTGCAATCATCTAACCCAAAGACACTTTGTCATTGGGTAAGGGCTTGTCTACATGCCATCTGAACTTTCTGGGTCTTTGTTTCTTGATCGTGATACAATCAAGTAAACTGACAGACTTGAACAGACCTTGAATAGTCCTAATGGAAGGCATACTGAAGGATGTACATAGTCACAGTATAAAGGATAGGCTATTAAAAAATCATTAACTAATACTAGTATCTTCTTTCCCCATTCTTATATTCTTATCCTATGGAAAAAAGTCTCAAAGAATTTTGAAGGGCCCCAATTTCCCTTCTCCCAAGCTAGAATTTTTTTCTTTGCTTCAGAATCTTTGACAGGGAGGCAGGTAGAAGAGAGTTTATAATGGGGAGGCAAAAGTGGCCAAGTTTTGGGGTAACAGGGGTGGAAAATGTTGAAAGTCCCTGAGATTAAGAACACGGCAGAGGATTTGTGACTCTACTTGTGTTCCAGGCCCTGCTACAGATTCTTGCAATAATAATGGTGAGGATGAGAGTGATTCTTTATTGCACAGGTGCCAAATCTGCATTTTGGGTGTTTCATGAGTATTAACACATTTAATGCTCACAACAGTCCTCTGTGGTAGATTCTGGTACTGCTATATCATAATAATTTTACAGAGAAGAGGCCACAGACAAGTTAAATAACTTATGTAAAAAAATGAGTGAGCCTCAATATGGTGGTCTGGGCCTGTGCCCTTAATAACTGGAAACACTGTGGCCTAAAGACCACATGTGTCTCTCTGTGGACAAGTTTGAGGCCTCTGATGGCTGGAGGACCAGTTCTTGATGGCAGCATGAAGGAGAAGAAACAAACTGCAATGTTTAGAATCACCATGGACTAAGGGACTTGGTCCCTTCATGGTTTTCTGGAATAATGTAAACCTGTGATTCTAGTATTCAATGACTGAGATTGGATTACTGGCCAGCCAGCCAGGGGGGAGCCTGAGCCGAATATGTCCCAACCGTATATCCAGCTGTCTTCTTGACATCTTTAGTTGGTTGCCTAATAGGCATTTCAAGCTAAACATGTCCCAAATTGGACTTGATTTTTCCCTCAAATCAGTTCCTGTTATAGTCTTTTCCACTTCAGTTATGGCAACTCCATTTTCCCCCTTGTTTAGCCCAGAACCTCAACTCCTCTCTTTCTCTCACACTCCATATCTGAATTATCAGCAAATTCTCCTGACTCTCCTCTGTCAGAAATTGACCATTCCTCCTAATCCCCATGGACACCAACCTGGTCCAAGTCACGTCATTTCCGAATTATTCCAATACCCTTTGGACTGGCCCCCCCTTCTGCACTTACCTTCCTTTAGGCTATTCTCAGTGTAGCAGCCAGACTGCTCTGTTAAGCACAGGTAGACTATGTCACCCTTCTGTTCAGAATACTTCAGTGCCTTCCCATTTCAATCAGAGGAAAAGCCAACGTCTTAACCGTGACCTACAAACCCTATGGCAACTGGCTCTTCATTTTCCCTGATTTTATTATTACTACTCTCATCCATTTTTTGTTTCAGTTCCCACTACACCAGTCCTTTTATTTCTGCTTGCAATCCCAGGGCTTTGGAACTTGCTGTCCCTTCAGTATGGAATGCTCCTCTTCCAGTTATTTGCATGGCTAATTAATCTTCCTTCCTTCCCATCTTAACTAAAAGTCATCTTTGCAGTTGAGACCTTCCCTGGCCACCCTGTCCAGAATTTAATCTCACACCTCCAATAATTTACATCCCCTTTCCTGCTTTGTGTTTCTTCTTGGAGCACAACCCAATCATATATATGATCTATCTATCTATCTCTATATCATATATATATGATCTATCTATCTCTATATCATATATATGATCTATCTCTATATCATATATATGATCTATCTCTATATCATACATATGATCTATCTCTATATCATACATATGATCTATCTATCTCTATATCATACATATGATCTATCTATCTCTATATCATACATATGATCTATCTCTATATCATACATATGATCTATCTATCTCTATATCATACATATGATCTATCTATCTCTATATATCATATATATGATATATCTATCTATATATCATATCTATCTATATATCATATATATGATATATCTATCTATCTATATCATATATAATGATATATCTATCTATATCATATATAATGATATATCTATCTATATCTATCTATGATATATCTATCTATAGATATATAGATATATCTATCTACATAGATATATCTATCTATAGATATATAGATATATCTATCTACATAGATATATCTATCTACATAGATATATAGATATATCTATCTACATAGATATATCTATCTACATAGATATATAGATATATCTATCTACATAGATATATAGATATATCTATCTACATAGATATATAGATATATCTATCTACATAGATATATAGATATATCTATCTACATAGATATATAGATATATCTATCTACATAGATATATCTATCTATAGATATATAGATATATCTATCTACATAGATATATCTATATATGATATATATCTACATAGATTTATATCATATATATGTGTATATACACATTTTGTTTACTTGTGTGTGTTGTCCATATTTCTCACCAGAATATTAGCCCTTCATGAGAGCAACGATTTTCTTTTTAATCATGCTTTATCTTTAGCACAGTGCCTGGCACACAGTAGGTGCTCAATAAATGCTTTCTGAATAAATTTAGAGAAATAAAAGAATGCGATATAATTGGCATCTTAGGGATGTGTACAAAATTCATACTCACTGCAAGACTGTTTGGATTATAATGGTTCTTAGTTAAATTTTTATCTAACTTTACCAGCAGGCTGATAAATGAATGAATCAGCAGTATAGCTTGACAATTAAATTTCCAAGGTGTTAAAAATATGTGACGTAAAAATAAAGATGATTTATCACTTGATCTTGTCAGATTGGCTTAAAACAGAGAAGATACACAGGGCACTCTCTATGTATTATTATTATTTTCCCCTTCCTTTTAATTAATTAAAATTTATCTGGACTAGTATCCAGTTAGTTGATGACCCCTTTGATTCCTCATTATTTGTCAGTTACTTTGTCATCCAGGATGATGTATTTAATTCCACATGGTTATTGTGTAGATTGGACCAATGGCTAAGGGGCTGCAGGTTGGTGTGGATCTGTCAAGAAACATTATGCTCCTGCTCAGGAACCCTTTTCCTGTTGTGGAACTCTGTCTCCTTATTTCATACCTGACATATATACGAATGCCTTTTAGGGTATAAAAGGATACACTAAGACACAAAAATATGTAAGATAACAGCGGATGCCCCCAAGCAGCCTGTATTTCTGGCTTTACTTTGCTTAGCTTATTATTAACTCTGCATTAAATGAGAAAAAGGGAAAGTTTAAGATTGACCCAAACCTTTCCTGGAGAGAAGTGGGAGATTGTAAACAATGAAAAGTACTCTAGAAAGAATGCCTCTAGAAGGAACGTGGCCCTACTGACCTACTTTAGACTTCTGACCCCTGGAACTGTAAGCTATTAAACTTCTAATGTTTTAAGCCAGTAAATTTATGGTTGTTAAAAACAACAATACGAAATTAATACAGGCCCTGAAAGTAGATCTTAAGATTTGCTGTGATTGAGTCAAGATAATTTCCTCAACTTTATCTTTTCCTTCCATATGATTTTCACAACAAGAATGTAAATACTATACCCCTTCTAATTAGTGATGCCAAGTGGCTGTGATACCAATAATTATCTGAATTTACAAAGTACATTTTGCATATATCAGATATATGTTTTGAATGACTTTATAGTCTTTGTTGAATGGTTATCTATTTAACTTCTGTCCAGCAGGCTGATAAATAAATAAATAAATAGTATAGCCAGCCAATTAAGTTACCAAGACATTTAAAATATATGAAGTAAAAGAGATAGAGAGGGAGAAAGAGAAAGAGAGAGAGAGAGATTCCAGAAGTCTTGCAATTTTCAGTAAGTTTAAAACACCAGTTTTTTAAGCCTCATTCTTGTGATAAAGAGTGTAACAAAATCAGGAAAAATGATACTGTTTGAATCTGTTTTTGAGTTAGAGACTAGAAGAAGAATGGACAAACAGTATGAAACCTTTGTACTATTTTTACAAGTCATTCTCATTAAAGCCTGAAGACTGTAAAGCTATTGGGCTCCTTCTAGGATAATGTCCCCCCTACTGTTATATTTCTTCCAATGAAACCCATCTGTGAGCTTTTGCAGGATGTTCATGACATGCATTTAAATTGCCTGTTGTGTTCCAGAAACCTCTTCTTCCTGCAAACAAGTGGTGACCTCTCTGCTCTATGTTCATTCAAGGGACAGACACTGTACATCATCCCAGGCAGGCAGCCAAATGATGGCCACATCCTGTTCAATGCAAAAATACACATTTTCATTAAACCAAGATAATTAGAAAAAGTAGCATAGAGGAATATGAGTAATTCCATCAGTAATTACAGCAATTATGCCCTTAATTGCCATGCCACCTCCAGTGTCACATTATATATATGTACTGGCAT